>NC_000006.12:115676850-115979880 GCF_000001405.40 Homo sapiens | reverse complement strand
GTGCTATAGCCTACTACACACTTAAGCTCTGTGGTATAGCCTATTGCTCCTAGGCTACAAACCTGTACAGCATGTCCCTAAACTGAATACTGTAAGCAACTGTAACACAATAGTATTTGTGTATTTATATCTAAACATATAAGCGACACAGTAACAACATGGTTTAAAATATTAGAAATGTTACACCTGTATAAGCAACTAACCATGAATGTAACTTGCAGGACTCAAGTTGCAGGACCCTGGGTGTGTCAGTGAAGGCCTGTGATGTCAATGTGAAGGCCTGTGATGTTATTGTACTTTATGATAAATATTGTACAGTTAGACTACATCAGATTTATAAAAAATATTTTTCTTTTTTCAATGGTAAATGAACTTTAGCTTACTATAACTTTTTACATTATACATTTTTTAATTTTAAAAAATATTTTGACTCTTTTGTAATAACAGTGTAAAACAAACACATTTTACAGCTCTACAAAAATATTCTCTTGTTGTGTCTTTATAAGCTTTTTTCTATTTTAAAATTCTTCTATTTTTTACTTTTTAAACTTTTTTTGTCAAAAACAAAGGCATAAACACACACACGACCTTTGGACTAGTCAGGGTCAGGATCATCAATATCACTATCTCCCACATCCACACCTTGTTCTACTGGAAGGTCTTTAGGGGCAATAACACCCATGGAGCTGTCCTCTCCTATGATAAAAGTGCTTTCTTCTGGAATGCTCCTGAAGAACCTGCCTGAGGCTGTTTTATAGTTAAATATGTTTTTATAAGTAGAAAGAGTATACTCTCTGTCTGTTTTGCATGTATTTTTTTTTTTTTTTGAGACAGAGTCTCACTCTGTTGTCCACGCTAGAGTACAGTGGTGTGATCATGGCTCACTGCAGCCTTGACCTCCCTGGGCTCAGATGATCCTTCCACTTCATCCTCCCGAGTAGCTGGGACTATAGGCATGTGCCACCACACTCAGATAATTTTGTTCATTTTTTGTAAAGATAAGGTCTCACTGTGTTGCCCAGGCTGGTAGGGTACACTCTCAAATAATAACAAAAAATATAGCATAGTAAATACATAAACCAGTAACATAGTCATTAATTATTGTTATCATATATTATGTATTGTACACAACAAACATGTAATAATGCATTGTGCTACAAGTGGTAGCACAATGAGGTCACTAGGCAATAGCATTTTTCAGCTCCACTATAATCTTATGGAACCACCATCATTTATGCAGGCTGTTGTTGACTGAAACATCTTTATTTGGCACATGACTGTAGTTGTGTGTGTGTATGTGTTTTTATTAATAGTTTATTAATATTTTCTTCATGGAATTAGGTAACTGAATGTGTTTACTTCTTTACTGTGAGCGCTAGAAAGGCACAGTGCCAAATCTGGCTCACATCGCTTGAACATGGATTGGCATCTGAAGATATCTATGTAAAGCATAATAGGCAAGTTCCTGGAGTCATCGTCCTTTTCTTTACCTTTTGTCTTATTTCCTTCATCTACTTATTTTAAATTTTATTATATTTTGAGGCATTTTATAATTTATGCAAACCTTCAGACATTTTTAGAACAAGGTAGGGATATAACTAAATAAATGCATGTAAATATTTAGATTATTTCCTTAGAGTAAGTTTTGAAAAGTAGATACACTGGGTCTCATGTCTCATTATATCTTTACCCAGTGAAAGATTTTCTGTAGGAAACTGGGATAATATAATCCAAGTATGTTAATTCCTGGTGATTTATTGCAGATATAATACCAAGTGAGGAGTTAGAGTCCCAAGAGGAATAAAGAATCAAGTTATTTCTCTGAGCATTTCTCTGCAATATGAGATGCTGTAAATGCTGTTTTCATGGGAAATTGTACTTTTCATGGGAAATTGTAATTTTCAATTAAATTAGCTGGCAAAATATTGAATGTTACAATTATATATTGTTAATTAAAAAGATACTCATCTGCTTTACATACCGGATATATAAACAATAAAATTGACATACTGTACTGAACACCTAATAGCCAGTTTTGATAAGGAGTTGGTTTATTCCCATAAGGGATTGGACTATTGGGGTCTTTAGAATAAGACTAATTTTTCTCAAAAATGTGATCAGCATTTGAACCAATGTATGGTTCAGGCTCACAATTTCTATGCTATGCCATATGGAAGAGATAGTTAATTTTTGCCTACAAAAGTTGTTGATTATTGCCTCTAACTATAAAGTAACCTCAGCTGGGCTTCTTGACCAGTAACAACCCTGATAGACCCTAGGACCTGGCACCTATTAGATGTATCCTCAAAAAGCTCTTTTGGTAAGCTTTCTTGAGTCAACTAATATAGACACTTCCTTAATGGATCATGATCTAATTCAGTCTACAGTTTAACAGTAAAACTTACTGACCAATGTCTGCAGCACACAGAATTTTCATGGTTGGGAGCCAAGCGCCCTTTGAGACCCATAGGTTGAGTTGTATGCATAAAATGAATCAGCTGTGTTTGTTCTCTTTGGTCTTAGTGGATATTTTTCCCCAGGAAAGGAGAGAACAACTCTTCTACGTGATGGCACTTTAATAATTTAGACAGATGTACTTTCTTCTCTCAAAATAATTCATGCTGGAATCCTACTCTATTTGCTGTAGAAGAGAATTCAGTGTAACATTAGCATGTGTCTTGAACTGTGTTTTAATGGGAGATACAACATAACAAATCAATTAATGTTATTCACTTATTGGTGTAGAGCTATCTTAGCATGATTTCTGAGGCAGTGGTATAGGGAGAATCATCATGGTTGTCTTTGTAATGGTTTTGAAAAGTATAAACAAATCTAAAAACAAACGAAATAAACAGGAGTTTACAAGTGCAGGAGTTTTTGCACACAGAATTAATAGCAATTTCTTAGCTTAATATGCTTGGTAGCCACTATGTTAAGTTGCCATTACTCTGTAAGGAGTAGAAAATATTACTTTGGAACTGCCTCTCTTTTGTTGACAATGCTATTTGACAATACTGATATTGTGATACAGTATTCACACATTGTACATTAGAAATATCTATCATCCTTTGTGAACAATGACACTCAAACTATCCCTGTGGGAGTATATAGATAAGATCATTATTCTCATTTTCTAGATAAGGAAACTGAAATGAAATTCCTTGCCTAAGGTCAGAGAACAAATCACTGGCAGAATAAGATTAGGGGAGTGAGTTCTTGATTTTCATTCCTTTGCTCAATCAATGAAGTCATATTGTTTTACTCAGTATGGGAAGAGATTATTATCAGTCAGTAGGAATAAGGCTATGCCCAGATGATGCCAGAAGACCAGCTGAAAAACAAAAATCTGCACAATCAACCATTTGTTTTTCTGTAAAACACCAAACTAATTGTTATACCAATGTTTTTCACTGAGCCGACTTGACGTCTTTGTGTCTTGCAGACACAGCCTCTGACTTTATGTTTATGTTATATTCCAAACTTAGTTTCTGGAATTTCTGTCTTTTAAAAATCTAATTTTGGAATATCCTGAATTTCATAATAGTTTAATATGTTCTGAATAATATGTTACCTGTGTGGGGTAGAATTGGGGCAGAGTTCTTTGAAAGTGCTTTATGATAAAATCTCACAGTATTCTTTTATATAGTGGCAGAGAAACCCTTTTCTACCTCAAAGGCTCCAAGGTGAAAATTACTGAAGTTTTATGAAAGGACTGCAAAATAAGACCTTACCATGTTAGAAGAAAGCTGGGCTTCTATATCTGTCACCAACTATATATTACATAAATGCACTTGGGTTTGGCAAATAGGACGGAAATCATCAGACCCCAACTAGATCTCATAGATCCTCTCCCGAACCAGTTACTCTGGATGTGAGGGTTGCCAAATAATCAGGTGACCGGTGGTATAGTCCATATAGAAGTTAACGTGCAGAATAACTGAGTTCTTTCAACATGCAACCAACATTTATTGTATTCCTGATACATACTTACCCACGTCTCCACAATATGTCCTAATTCTTCGACATGTTCTGCTAGATTCATCAGTTGACAGGTGAAACATTTCTCCCTAGGTCAAACAACATGTAAACTCAGGATCTTTGATCTTTTAGCTGAGTTCAATCATAATGCCAGCAACTTTATTGATGGATGATTCCAGTTTATTTTAGTTAATCTTATATATTTTTTGCAGCTGAACTACTAAAATACTTAACTAGTATGAACTCATAGTATTTCACAAAAAGAATGGCACAAGCATTCACTTATAGTCTGTAGGAAATGGAATAGGCTCAGTTCAATAATAAAGATCACAAGCCAGGAAAGGAATAGAAAATTCATTTCTCTCTGGTTCTGAGACACCTGAATTCAACCTTCATTAAGAACGACAATTTGCAAGCATATGAACTCACCACTAACAGATGAAAATACTTTTAAAAAACAGTTCGTATTCTGTATTTGATTATTTATGAATATATGCAATATTAAAAGTGCCTTCATCCTGGCTACAATGTATTGAATTTTCCTGATGTAGCTTTTGTTGTCTTATTTTTAAATAATACATATCTTCCAGTTTTGTTGAGATTGAAAACTTGAAGGAACCATATATAAATGCTCATGATGCCAGTAAGAGATGAAAAAAAAATTCTGCATTATATTTTAAAAATCAAGAAATTAGATATTGACTTGAATGACTATTCTCTAGTAGTGTTTATATCCTGAGGTTGGTTTTTTTTATTTTTGCCATTTTAAAATAAGATTGCAGGGAAGTCTTGTAAGTCCCGAAAGTATTGCCATAATTACCTATTTAATATTGCAGCAGACATCTCAGAAATTTATATTTCACTTAAAATACAAGAGTTAGTGATATCATTCATTCATTTAGTAGATGTTTATATTAGTGATTACTCTGAGCCAACCTCTATTTATTGGATGAAGACAGCAGAGCCCCTGCCCTCACAGAGATAATTCTACTGTGATAAATAGTATCACAATTAAACAGGTTTATGTGATAGAAAGGAGGAGCTCGAGTGGATAGAGAAGGCTGGCTCTGAGGATTTAAATTGAGAGGAAAGGAAGGGGCCAGATTCTAGAAGATTCACAGGAAAAGCATTCAAATGGGGTTCAAAAGCTCCAAGGTAAGAATTACTAAAGTTTTATGAAAGGACTACGCAAACAGATCAGAATTTAGGGAGAGAAAGCAATGGTCTTCAGAAATCTTTGAATGCTAAGATGGAAACATTTGGAAATTTGGAGATTTTTTTAAAAAGCCTACTCTTTTATTTTAATAATAAAGAAATCAAGGCCCATGAGACTGACATGTTTTTGGTTATATACTAATTAAATTTTAACCTGGGTCTGCCATTTCCTAGTCTGTTGCTTTTTCCGTTAAGCAAAATACCTCTCTTTGTGCTTGAAAACTCTAGGTGCTATTGCCAAGCATTGGGTTTTACAGTTGAAAATTTAAACCTGCATCATAAAGATCTGGCAAATATTTATTTAGGCTTTCTTTATATAATCGGTAGCAATCTCCAAAGCCATATTTATCACTGTGATTTGCATCTCTTATTAAGAAAATCACAAAGCACACTTTAACCCCTCTGCCATCTATTTACTTTAGTCTCTAGCTTGGAGACTATTAGATCTTTTGTGGTGCACTATGAAGGAATTTGTAAGTTTGTGTTTAATTTCCACGTAGTCCATTTCAATTTGGAACTAGTAGATAGTTCATCTTGTTTATATAAGGGAAATTCTTTTTATTGCTTCCCATCATTTCCAATTACAGACCTATTGGCTTGCTAGACATCTCAGCTTTAATTTATGGACTTCTCTTTTTGATAGATGTCAAGGCTTGAACATGTAGGCCAAGAATTTATGTAAATAGCAAGTATATTTTATATTTAGATATCCTTCTACTTCTTATATTTTTATAACTTTGTGGAGAAATGAATTGGGACTAACATGATATTGTTTACAGCTGTCTTTGACTTTTTGTTGGCTTTTTTTTTTTTTTCTGAGACTGTGTCTCGCTCTGTTGCCCAGGCTGAATTGCAGTGGCACAATCTTGGCTCACTGCAACCTCTGCCTCCCGGGTTCAAGCAATTCTCCTGCCTCAGCCTCCTGAGTAGCTGGGATTACAGGCACATGCCAACACACCCGGCTAATTTTTTCTATTTTTAGTAGAGATGGGGTTTTGCCATATTGGCCAGGCTGGTCTTGAACTCCTGTCCTCAAGTGATCTGCCCACCTTGGCCTCCCAAAGTGCTGGGATTACAGGCATGAGCCACCATGCCCAGCCCTTTGTTGGCTTTTTTTAAAAATTTTTAAACATTATACTTTAAGTTCTGGGATACATGTGTAGCATGTGCAGATTTGTTACATAAGTATACGCGTGCCATGGTGGTTTGCTGCACCCATCAACCATCATCTACATTCGGTATTTCTCCTAATGCTATCCCACCCTTAATCCCACATCCCCCAACAGGCCCCAGTGTGTGATGCTCCCCTCCCTGTGTCCATGTGTTCTCATTGTTCAACTCCCATTTATGAGTGAGAACATGCGGTGTTTGGTTTTCTGTTCTTGTGTTATTTTGCTGAGAATGATGGTTTCCAGCTTCAGGAATATATTATGAGCTAAGCTCTATATCCTGATAGAAGTCCTCTATTTGATGATTATTATATAGGGCAATTAACACTGGCCTAAGAGTCATAGCCAGTAGGAATGGTAGCTTGACAAATCAGAGTGCAAGGATGTGTTCCAGATACACAAAAAAGTTTAAGAAAATGATATTGCTCTTGAAGGAACTAAATGGACTCTTGCCTTTTGTATTTTAATGTAAAGGAAAACATTAAAATTAATGAATGATATCACTGCTGAAAGTAACACATTTTCCTGAACACAGATGACATAATATTATTGTCGTGAACTGGAGGTGTGTCTTCTTAGACATTTAGATCTGCTGTGTGAAATCTGCTGGTTATAGAGCGTCTTAGAGTCACAAGGCCCCAAGTTGAATCCTGGCAGTGCCATCTACTGACTTTTATGAGTAGTAAAATGGACCTAATAACTACCTTATATGACTGTTAAAAGATTACAACAAAATAATGTAAAATCATGCTTAGCATGGTGTTTGGGTCAATACATGTGAATATAACAATGTTAAAATGGAGTTTTTGATTGAGGTTATTAAGACACAATAGAAGTAGAAGTTCAAAGTCAGATCTCCATACTCACAGTTGACAAAGGAATTGGTCAAAGATAGGTATGGCTGTTCTTGGATCTCTCAGCTTGTTAATAATTTAGAAAGGATACAAGGAGTGGAATGGAGGAAGAATTTGCTGATGGCATTTTGCTTTTGAAGAAAGCTGTTGGCACACTATGGAACCCCCTTTATTCCTGGGCTAATGAATGGGACCCCAAACCTAGTGAGAGGGTGCTTCAGGAAGGCCACTCTGAGAGCTAACTCTCCACCCTCTGCAGTTGGGAGGATAGAACACAGGTGCCTGACTCAGGTTGAGAAGGTGAAAGCATCCTGTGGAAGTAGGATAGAGGTAACTTAGGGCACCAGCTTCTCTCTCCTCCTAGTAATTGTCAGGGCAAGGGATGTGTAAATATTATCTCAGGACCATAAGTGGGTCTCCTAATGAGCAAAAGTGCCATGGCACTGTAGATGGACAGTCTGGAGGAGTTTTGGGTTTTGCCCAGGAAAGCTTCTGCTGGAGGATAAGAGGAGACCTATAAGGGAGAATGTGGTGGGAGAACTGCCCAGGAAACAGAAGCTGAGAGGCAATTGGGTGCAGGCATCCTAGAAATGTCTGCATCTTAGCAGCTGCAGTGAGGGTTCCTTTAGAGACAGGGAAGCCCCAAAGGGCCTGCATGAGTGTCCCAGAGAGGAGTCAGCTTCAGTTTCTGCCAGCAGGCTCGGAGTGGGAAGTTGACTGAGTGTGGCCTTCTCCTTCTTTACTCCCTCTTCTCTCTGCTCTTAGTCTGGATGCTCAGAGCCCAGCTGGGAAGGAAAAGTGGAGGAGCAGCTATAGTAGAGAAACAGAGAGGAAGGCACCCATACCATGTTTCCACTGCTGCCTTTTGCCTGAAGCGGGCCAGACCGAGCTGGGGAAGGAGAGAAGATTCGACATCTGATCACGTAGCAGTAGAGTGTTTTGGTTATCATCTGGGACTGGGCATCTAGGCTTGAATTGAGACACTGTTTGTGATTTTAAGTGGAAGTAAGACTGTCTAATACCTAAAAGTGGGCAGAAAAACTTTGCTGGAGCTTTCATCTAGGGACAGGGGAGTGTTATTCTCACAGACTACAAATTAAAGACCACTGGGAAGAACATGAAAGGTGTAGGCTTTAATTATTAGTTGTGCTTTTCTGTGTATTGTTTGCATTATTGTGGTTGATGCTGTGTTAGAAAGGTTACCTTCAAATTCAGTGTTGTACACCTAAAGTCTTGATTTTTGTTTGATATTTCCTTGCATTTTTCTGGCTTATAGCAAATACTCCTATAGTGCAAGTCAACTCAGTTATTTAGGAGGGCATTTTGTAGCCAGGTTTCTCACAGTGCTTACTAGAAAACTTATTTGCTTAAAGTTAATATTCTACGTGTATGTTACTGAGAATTTTTATACCCAGGGTGAAAATTAGGTAACATTTACTTTAATAACCTTCCATACTGAAATAATACAGCATGAACCATAATATAGCAGTTTGGAGACTCGATTCCCCATTTGTTCATAAAGAGAAGCAAAACACTGACATTTTAAAAGTATTCTTTTAAATTGAAGTGTGATACACATAATAAAAGTACACAATTCATAAAAATTTAGTTTGGTGAGTACAAAGTGAATTCATCCAGGTAACCAGCACCAAGTTAAGAAACAGAATAAGGTTAACGTCCCAGTCACTGACCCCTCATATCAATAGTTTTGCTTGTTTTTGATATTTATTTATTTACTTATTTTAGAGACAGTCTTGTTCTGTTGCCCAGGCTGGACTTGAGTATAGTGGCACAATCGATCATAACTCTCTGCAGCCTTGACCTTCTGGGCTGAAGTGATCCTCCTGCCTCAGCTTCCCAAGTAGCTGTGACTACAGGTGTGTGCCACCAATCCTGGCTAATTTAAAAACAATTATTATTATTATTTTTTGTTGAGACAGGGTCTGCCACCATTGCGTAGACTGGCTTGCAGACCTAGCCTCAAGCAATTCTTCCATCTCAACCTCCCCAGATGCTGTGACTAAAGGCGTGAGCCACCACGCCCAGCTTAGCCTTGCTTTTTAATAATGAGACTATATATTTGAGTTTGCGAGATTCATTCACTTTGTTATGTGTAGCTGCAGTTTTTGTTTATTTACAAATTTGCATTCCACTAGATGACAATTTTTTAGCTAATTCAATTGTTTTTTAGTTGATAAACATTTGGATAGTTCTATTTATGTGTTGATGAACATTTGGATTGTTTCCAGGTTTGAACCCTTACAAATCAGGCAACTAAAAACATTCTTAAACACATGTTTTGGTGAATATATTGTGCACTTTTATTGATTTTATGCTTAGGAGTGGAATTACTGTATGACATGTATGACTGTGTTCAACTCTAGTAGATAAGGAAAAACAGTTTTCCAGAGTGGTGGTAAAAATTACTCTTCCATCAACTGTGTGTGGGAAGTCACTCCACTTCCTTGTTAATACTTTTTTCATTTTAGCTTTTCTGGTGTGTGCCAATTCCTGTTTTTGAAAAAAAAAAAAATTCCTAGCTATTGGCATGCCCTCAGTAAACCTCCATATGGGAAGTGGGATGTCTTCTTTCCTATCATAAGAGCATTGCACCAGCCTGACTAATCATTGAAGCATAAAGTTATATATTTAGCAAGGAATGCAGAATAGCATTCTGGTGATAAATGCTGCCCAATACTTATCAACAACTTTGCTAAGTGAAAGCATAGGTATAAAGTGCATTAGTCAATATTTTGAATGTAAGTGCAGAAATCCCTATTCAAAATAGTTTAACCAAAAAGGTAATTAATTGACTCTTGTAGCTGAAAAGCCAGGCTTGGCTGGCTCCTGGGATTAAGCTTCACTTTCCAAATCAAGACTGCCTCCCACTGGGCTGCTTCTCTTCTCAGGCAAGCTTGCTTCCTGTCTGGAGGCCAGGATTCTGTCAATAGCTCCAAACTCCCATCAGTAAACCAAAACCAAAACAACAGCCACAGCAACAAAACTCTTCCTGTCTTTCTGGAACTATTAAGTCCCGGAATTGGGGTTCCTTGGTTCTTATTGCACTAATTATGTCTTCTTCGGCTCCAGGTGGCTACCAGGTCCCTCTGGACCACACGCTTTCAGAGAAACAACAATTCTCTGAGGAAAACTGGGGGTGCTGTTAACAGAAGAAGGGTCAATGGTAGGTGGGCGGCAACAGTAACAAAATAGCCACTGCAAGCCAGACTAGGTCAAAGTAACACGGTTTAGTTATTCCTGTAGGTCCTACAGGACTTACCCTTGGATGAAGCAATACTGCTAGAACGTTGCATGTGTGGACTGCATCATTTTAGGCTCTGTGGAATTGCTTTTATTGAACTGTGTTAGGGCATTCTGTTACCAGTCTGCATTGAGGTACAATATAATGAACAGTCCTGTGGAATTTCATGCATTATTGTAAGACGGTATTGAGCACACTGTTTATTTCCAAAGCCACATTATAGGATTTCATGGGAGAAATTTCTCCCTGGTCTCTGCACCAGGAAGAGTCAAACTGTTTCTAAAAACCTTTCATGATTTTATCTTATGGATACTGTGATTCCTCAAAATGGTAAGGTGTCCTTCTTTGCATTGCTAGAGTGATAGAGTCAATTTTATGGCTTGTTTTAATCAAGTATACTAGGCTTTGAAGCATGGATTCTTTTAGTGCTAGCCTCACCCCTTTATTTTTCTATTTCCTTCAGTATTGTTTCCCAGTTCTCACACTCTCTCTTTTGTTCTATATCCTTTGTAAACTTTCTTAAATCTTTTCTGAGACAAAGTTGAGAAACACATATAATTTTATATAGATTTCATTTTATGCATTGAAAATGTCACCACAAAGTAAATAAATCTGCTTGGTTTTAGCAAGAAGTTTATTAACAGGAATTATTTTGGGTTCCAGTTTTAGATGGAGCAGTTGTAAAACACTACAGAATTAAAAGACTGGATGAAGGGGGATTTTTTCTCACGCGAAGAAGAATCTTTTCAACACTGAACGAATTTGTGAGCCACTACACCAAGACAAGTGACGGCCTGTGTGTCAAGCTGGGGAAACCATGCTTAAAGGTGAAAATGCTTTCAAGCTGTGTTTTTTTATTGAAGTTAACTTTTTTCCTTCAGATATCTGAGTATTTTTCATGGAATATCAGTTCAGGAAAAAAATTGTCATTTTATTACCTCAGGCGGGTATAGGCAAACCATGGCCTATGAGCTCACACTGACGTATGCTTGTTTTTGTAAATAAGTTTTATTTGCACAGATGCTCATTCATATATGAGTTTTCTTTGGATTCTTTTGTGCCATAACAGCAGAGTTTAGAAGGTGCAACGGAGACCATAGGGCAGGTGGTAAACTAGAATATGAGTTCTAGGAAGGCAGGGGTCTTGCTTGTTTTGTTTATAGAAAAGAACCTAGTCAATTCTTAAAACAATTTTACTTACTAAATGAATGAGTAACTAAATGAATGAACAAATAAAGAAATGAAAAAATGAGTTTGAAAAATATAAAACATTTAATTATGCAAAAATAGGTGATACATATAATAAAACTATAGCCAAAGAATTTGGGAAGGATTTGTGGGTGAGAGGGAACTTCAGCTGGGCCTTGAAACTGAGAGGATTTAGCTAGGCGAAGAGGTAGGGAGAAGTCATTCCAGACCTGAGTGAGGATGGCATTAGGTATGGGATCAGACAGGTAGACAACGAGGTGCCTGACTTCCCAAGATCTGGAAGATCAATTTGAAGAGTTAACAAATGCAGATTCTCCCACCATACTTTTTGTTTTTGAAGTAATTATAATACAGTTTACAATATTTTGTTTTAAGAAGTTTTATTTAAAAGTACCTAGACTATTATTTTCAACAAAATAATATTAAATCTACTTTTTTTTTTTTAACAATTGCTCTTATTATTCTATGAAACAGATCCAGGTCCCAGCTCCATTTGATTTGTCGTATAAAACCGTGGACCAATGGGAGATAGACCGCAACTCCATACAGCTTCTGAAGCGATTGGGATCTGGTCAGTTTGGCGAAGTATGGGAAGGTCTGTGGAACAATACCACTCCAGTAGCAGTGAAAACATTAAAACCAGGTGCGAGAACAATAAAGGTTAAATGGCATATGTTGATTTTTATGAGCTCAATTTAACACTGTAAATATCTAAGAGGTCATAGGGTGGCTAATACTGGCAGCAAGCAGGTGTTGTGGTCATTGTCTCTAGCCCAGGTGACCCCAACCTATGGATAAGGCATTAAAATATAAAAACAAGAACACACTTCCTGGTTCAGCTGAGTCTTAAAATATCGCTGATTGAAGAGTCTGACAACTCATCTCTTCTCTGAATTAGGATTCAGTCTTCCAATGTCCTTCTTCCCATTTTGTTCCTAGCCTTAGTTAAAAGATATTGACTTAGCTGAAAATATTTAAAAAATCAGAAGGAATCTTGATACTATTCAGGGAACAACTATTTTTAAAAGTATTAATTTTGTATGGTTAAAAGGCAAAATGGTCCATCTAAAGAAACTTGTATTTGAAAATGTAGGAACTTTTTTTCCCTTCCATCTTCCTTTTTCCTGTGATGGCAAGTAAAATTATACTGAAATCAGTATTTATTCAGCCAGGCTTTATTCCCTCCATTTTAAAGAGGGACTAAGTAACTTTCCAAATATTTCTGGTCATATGATCTTGAGCAAATTTTTGAACTCTATGCTTCAGTTTTGTCATTTGTAAAATAGAGATAATAATAAGGCCAACAGAGAAGATAAATTAGGTCATTAGTGGACATGCTTTGTATAGTGCCTGGTTCACAGTAAGTGATGGATAAAAACTATTATTATAATAAGGAAAAAGTCAGTAAATGGCATAGCTGGGATTTGAACTCACATTTATTACTATTGCCTCACGCTCCATGGAAGTGACAGTCTATAAAAGTGCAACATTGCTATAGTAGCCTCATATATACCTTTATAACAGAGGTAAGAATAATCAACATAGGCTAGATTGTAGTTTTCTGGGAGACCTGCATTATTTACCTAGCCCAGAATTCTTAGAGGTTTGGTAAACCTCCTGGTGGCAGAACTTGAGCTCTTGGGATTTGTTGGCTAGCAGCATAGGGTAACACCATGGTTCCCAAACTGTGTGCCAAGGCTCATGGGGGCACCATGGTGAATTCACAAGAGTGCTGTGGAATACTTAAAAGTTTTGAAGTCAACATCCTGAATATTGTACAAGCTGCTACCTTGAAGTAGTTCATAGTTTCAACTTTAGAACAACATTCCTTTTGTTGACATCATATCTTTGTGAAGCTGGGTTTTTGATAGTTGCTATGGTCAAATGCAAAATCCACACAAAAATCAATATGGACCAGAAAATGGGGGTAGCAGTGCTTCATCTGATTCTAAGATTGGAGAAATTGTGCAGTGTCCCAGGGATGCATATATCACTTTAGTAAGCACTTGTAGTTAAGAATTAAGTGAAGAATTATGTTTTCCTTTCAATTTACCTGTGTTACTTTTTCAAATGGCTATTAAATTGTTAAGATAAATACTTCTTTTTTTTTTAAGTATTTCTTTTTTTTTTTAATTTTTTTTTTATTATACTTTAAGTTTTAGGGTACATGTGCACATTGTGCAGGTTAGTTACATATGTATACATGTGCCATGCTGGTGCGCTGCACCCACTAACGTGTCATCTAGCATTAGGTATATCTCCCAATGCTATCCCTCCCCCCTCCCCCGACCCCACCACAGTCCCCAGAGTGTGATATTCCCCTTCCTGTGTCCATGTGATCTCATTGTTCAATTCCCACCTATGAGTGAGAATATGCGGTGTTTGGTTTTTTGTTCTTGCGATAGTTTACTGAGAATGATGGTTTCCAATTTCATCCATGTCCCTACAAAGGACATGAACTCATCATTTTTTATGGCTGCATAGTATTCCATGGTGTATATGTGCCACATTTTCTTAATCCAGTCTATCATTGTTGGACATTTGGGTTGGTTCCAAGTCTTTGCTATTGTGAATAATGCCGCAATAAACATACGTGTGCATGTGTCTTTATAGCAGCATGATTTATAGTCATTTGGGTATATACCCAGTAATGGGATGGCTGGGTCAAATGGTATTTCTAGTTCTAGATCCCTGAGGAATCGCCACACTGACTTCCACAATGGTTGAACTAGTTTACAGTCCCACCAACAGTGTAAAAGTGTTCCTATTTCTCCACATCCTCTCCAGCACCTGTTGTTTCCTGACTTTTTAATGATTGCCATTCTAACTGGTGTGAGATGATATCTCATAGTGGTTTTGATTTGCATTTCTCTGATGGCCAGTGATGATGAGCATTTTTTCATGTGTTTTTTGGCTGCATAAATGTCTTCTTTTGAGAAGTGTCTGTTCATGTCCTTCGCCCACTTTTTGATGGGGTTGTTTGTTTTCTTCTTGTAAATTTGTTTGAGTTCATTATAGATTCTGGATATTAGCCCTTTGTCAGATGAGTAGGTTGCGAAAATTTTCTCCCATGTTGTAGGTTGCCTGTTCACTCTGATGGTAGTTTCTTTTGCTGTGCAGAAGCTCTTTAGTTTAATTAGATCCCATTTGTCAATTTTGGCTTTTGTTGCCATTGCTTTTGATGTTTTGGACATGAAGTCCTTGCCCACGCCTATGTCCTGAATGGTAATGCCTAGGTTTTCTTCTAGGGTTTTTATGGTTTTAGGTCTAGCGTTTAAATCTTTAATCCATCTTGAATTGATTTTTGTATAAGGTGTAAGGAAGGGATCCAGTTTCAGCTTTCTACATATGGCTAGCCAGTTTTCCCAGCACCATTTATTAAATAGGGAATCCTTTCCCCATTGCTTGTTTTTCTCAGGTTTGTCAAAGATCAGATAGTTGTAGATATGCGGCATTATTTCTGAGGGCTCTGTTCTGTTCCATTGATCTATATCTCTGTTTTGGTACCAGTACCATGCTGTTTTGGTTACTGTAGCCTTGTAGTATAGTTTGAAGTCAGGTAGTGTGATGCCTCCAGCTTTGTTCTTTTGGCTTAGGATTGACTTGGTGATGCGGGCTCTTTTTTGGTTCCATATGAACTTTAAAGTAGTTTTTTCCAATTCTGTGAAGAAAGTCATTGGTAGCTTGATGGGGATGGCATTGAATCTGTAAATTACCTTGGGCAGTATGGCCATTTTCACGATATTGATTCTTCCTACCCATGAGCATGGAATGTTCTTCCATTTGTTTGTGTCCTCTTTTATTTCCTTGAGCAGTGGTTTGTAGTTCTCCTTGAAGAGGTCCTTCACATCCCTTGTAAGTTGGATTCCTAGGTATTTTATTCTCTTTGAAGCAATTGTGAATGGGAGTTCACTCATGATTTGGCTCTCTGCTTGTCTGTTGTTGGTGTATAAGAATGCTTGTGATTTTTGTACATTGATTTTGTATCCTGAGACTTTGCTGAAGTTGCTTATCAGCTTAAGGAGATTTTGGGCTGAGACAATGGGGTTTTCTAGATAAACAATCATGTCGTCTGCAAACAGGGACAATTTGACTTCCTCTTTTCCTAATTGAATACCCTTTATTTCCTTCTCCTGCCTGATTGCCCTGGCCAGAACTTCCAACACTATGTTGAATAGGAGTGGTGAGAGAGGGCATCCCTGTCTTGTGCCAGTTTTCAAAGGTAATGCTTCCAGTTTTTGCCCATTCAGTATGATATTGGCTGTGGGTTTGTCATAGATAGCTCTTATTATTTTGAAATACGTCCCATCAATACCTAATTTATTGAGAGTTTTTAGCATGAAGGGTTGTTGAATTTTGTCAAAGGCTTTTTCTGCATCTATTGAGATAATCATGTGGTTTTTGTCTTTGGCTCTGTTTATATGCTGGATTACATTTATTGATTTGCGTATATTGAACCAGCCTTGCATCCCAGGGATGAAGCCCACTTGATCATGGTGGATAAGCTTTTTGATGTGCTGCTGGATTCGGTTTGCCAGTATTTTATTGAGGATTTTTGCATCAATATTCATCAAGGATATTGGTCTAAAATTCTCTTTTTTGGTTGTGTCTCTGCCTGGCTTTGGTATCAGAATGATGCTGGCCTCATAAAATGAGTTAGGGAGGATTCCCTCTTTTTCTATTGATTGGAATAGTTTCAGAAGGAATGGTACCAGTTCCTCCTTGTACCTCTGGTAGAATTCGGCTGTGAATCCATCTGGTCCTGGACTCTTTTTGGTTGGTAAACTATTGATTATTGCCACAATTTCAGAGCCTGTTATTGGTCTATTCAGAGATTCAACTTCTTCCTGGTTTAGTCTTGGGAGAGTGTATGTGTTGAGGAATTTATCCATTTCTTCTAGATTTTCTAGTTTATTTGCGTAGAGGTGTTTGTAGTATTCTCTGATGGTAGTTTGTATTTCTGTGGGATCGGTGGTGATATCCCCTTTATCATTTTTTATTGTGTCTATTTGATTCTTCTCTCTTTTTTTCTTTATTAGTCTTGCTAGCGGTCTATCAATTTTGTTGATCCTTTCAAAGAACCAGCTCCTGGATTCATTGATTTTTTGAAGGTTTTTTTGTGTCTCTATCTCCTTCAGTTCTGCTCTGATTTTAGTTATTTCTTGCCTTCTGCTAGCTTTTGAATGTGTTTGCTCTTGCTTTTCTAGTTCTTTTAATTGTGATGTTAGGGTGTCAATTTTGGATCTTTCCTGCTTTCTCTTGTGGGCATTTAGTGCTATAAATTTCCCTCTACACACTGCTTTGAATGCGTCCCAGAGATTCTGGTATGTGGTGTCTTTGTTCTCGTTGGTTTCAAAGAACATCTTTATTTCTGCCTTCATTTCGTTATGTACCCAGTAGTCATTCAGGAGCAGGTTGTTCAGTTTCCATGTAGTTGAGCGGCTTTGAGTGAGATTCTTAATCCTGAGTTCTAGTTTGATTGCACTGTGGTCTGAGAGATAGTTTGTTATAATTTCTGTTCTTTTACATTTGCTGAGGAGAGCTTTACTTCCAACTATGTGGTCAATTTTGGAATAGGTGTGGTGTGGTGCTGAAAAAAATGTATATTCTGTTGATTTGGGGTGGAGAGTTCTGTAGATGTCTATTAGGTCCGCTTGGTGCAGAGCTGAGTTCAATTCCTGGGTATCCTTGTTGACTTTCTGTCTCATGGATCTGTCTAATGTTGACAGTGGGGTGTTAAAGTCTCCCATTATTAATGTGTGGGAGTCTAAGTCTCTTTGTAGGTCACTCAGGACTTGCTTTATGAATCTGGGTGCTCCTGTATTGGGTGCATAAATATTTAGGATAGTTAGCCTCTCTTGTTGAATTGATCCCTTTACCATTATGTAATGGCCTTCTTTGTCTCTTTTGATCTTTGTTGGTTTAAAGTCTGTTTTATCAGAGACTAGGATTGCAACCCCTGCCTTTTTTTGTTTTCCATTGGCTTGGTAGATCTTCCTCCATCCTTTTATTTTGAGCCTATGTGTGTCTCTGCACGTGAGATGGGTTTCCTGAATACAGCACACTGATGGGTCTTGACTTTTTATCCAACTTGCCAGTCTGTGTCTTTTAATTGCAGAATTTACTCCATTTATATTTAAAGTTAATATTGTTATGTGTGAATTTGATCCTGTCATTATGATGTTAGCTGGTGATTTTGCTCGTTAGTTGATGCAGTTTCTTCCTAGTCTCGATGGTCTTTACATTTTGGCATGATTTTGCAGCGGCTGGTACCGGTTGTTCCTTTCCATGTTTAGCGCTTCCTTCAGGAGCTCTTTTAGGGCAGGCCTGGTGGTGACAAAATCTCTCAGCATTTGCTTGTCTATAAAGTATTTTATTTCTCCTTCACTTATGAAGCTTAGTTTGGCTGGATATGAAATTCTGGGTTGAAAATTCTTTTCTTTAAGAATGTTGAATATTGGCCCCCAGTCTCTTCTGGCTTGTAGGGTTTCTGCCGAGAGATCCGCTGTTAGTCTGATGGGCTTTCCTTTGAGGGTAACCCGACCTTTCTCTCTGGCTGCCCTTCACATTTTTTCCTTCATTTCAACTTTGGTGAATCTGACAATTATGTGTCTTGGAGTTGCTCTTCTCGAGGAGTATCTTTGTGGCGTTCTCTGTATTTCCTGAATCTGAACGTTGGCCTGCCTTGCTAGATTGGGGAAGTTCTCCTGGATAATATCCTGCAGAGTGTTTTCCAACTTGGTTCCATTCTCCACATCACTTTTAGGTACACCAATCAGACGTAGATTTGGTCTTTTCACATAGTCCCATATTTCTTGGAGGCTTTGCTCATTTCTTTTTATTCTTTTTTCTCTAAACTTCCCTTCTTGCTTCATTTCATTCATTTCATCTTCCATTGCTGATACCCTTTCTTCCAGTTGATCGCATCGGCTTCTGAGGCTTCTGCATTCTTCACGTAGTTCTCGAGCCTTGGTTTTCAGCTCCATCAGCTCCTTTAAGCACTTCTCTGTATTGGTTATTCTAGTTATACATTCTTCTAAATTTTTTTCAAAGTTTTCAACTTCTTTGCCTTTGGTTTGAATGTCCTCCCGTAGCTCAGAGTAATTTGATCGTCTGAAGCCTTCTTCTCTCAGCTCGTCAAAATCATTCTCCATCCAGCTTTGTTCCGTTGCTGGTGAGGAACTGCGTTCCTTTGGAGGAGGAGAGGCGCTCTGCGTTTTAGAGTTTCCAGTTTTTCTGTTCTGTTTTTTCCCCATCTTTGTGGTTTTATCTACTTTTGGTCTTTGATGATGGTGATGTACAGATGGGTTTTCGGTGTAGATGTCCTTTCTGGTTGTTAGTTTTCCTTCTAACAGACAGGACCCTCAGCTGCAGGTCTGTTGGAATACCCTGCCGTGTGAGGTGTCAGTGTGCCCCTGCTGGGGGGTGCCTCCCAGTTAGGCTGCTCGGTGGTCAGGGGTCAGGGACCCACTTGAGGAGGCAGTCTGCCCGTTCTCAGATCTCCAGCTGCGTGCTGGGAGAACCACTGCTCTCTTCAAAGCTGTCAGACAGGGACACTTAAGTCTGCAGAGGTTACTGCTGTCTTTTTGTTTGTCTGTGCCCTGCCCCCAGAGGTGGAGCCTACAGAGGCAGGCAGGCCTCCTTGAGCTGTGGTGGGCTCCACCCAGTTCGAGCTTCCGGGCTGCTTTGTTTACCTAAGCAAGCCTGGGCAATGGCGGGCGCCCTTCCCCCAGCCTCGCTGCCGCCTTGCAGTTTGATCTCAGACTGCTGTGCTAGCAATCAGCGAGATTCCGTGGGCGTAGGACCCTCTGAGCCAGGTGTGGGATATAGTCTAGTGGTGCGCCGTTTTTTAAGCCGGTCTGAAAAGCGCAATATTCGGGTGGGAGTGACCCGATTTTCCAGGTGCGTCCGTCACCCCTTTCTTTGACTCGGAAAGGGAACTCCCTGACCCCTTGCGCTTCCCAGGTGAGGCAATGCCTCGCCCTGCTTCGGCTCGCGCACGGTGCGCGCACACACTGGCCTGCGCCCACTGTCTGGCACTCCCTAGTGAGATGAACCCGGTACCTCAGATGGAAATGCAGAAATCACCCGTCTTCTGCGTCGCTCACGCTGGGAGCTGTAGACAGGAGCTGTTCCTATTCGGCCATCTTGGCTCCTCCCCTAGATAAATACTTCTTAACTTGTTTGGATCTAACCCAGTAATCAAAATAACTGTTAGTTTTTTTTTTTATTTTCACTTAGAGACATCATGAAAAAAGTTATGGAGACACTAAGGGTTCCACGAACTGAAAACACTGGGATCCTCTGGTGTAACAAGTGAATAGTGTCAAATTCGATATAAGATAAATCTGTGTTTAAACCTGGCTCTGCCCTCTGTGACTTCAGACAATTTTTAACCTTTTGGAATCTTCTCATCTGGAAGTGGGAATCATAATAGTTCCTAATTTCTAGGGTTTTATGAGGACAAATGGAGTCAATATACGTAAAGTATATGCAGCAAGTTCTTAATAAATGTTAGCCTCCATGGGGCTGCTGACAGATGTGTCCACTGAAGTGCAAATTTACTAGTGCAGGAATTCAGTTTCAGCATTTTCATCTGGCAGATGAAGCAAGAGACAGGCACTTTAAAGTGGCCAGATGCTATGTGAGTGCTCCAGGTGAGGACATTCTATTCTAGCACCTGAGATTTTCACAATCACTGTGTATATGCTTTTAAACCCTAATCTTGTTAATAAATGGTGGCTGAACTTTATTGTCCAATCTAATAATTCTTTTCTAAGAAGAGGCAGCTAGCTAGCCTTCCTAACGTTGTTCTCTAAGGAAGCCCTTTGGGAAGTCAAAAGACAACAAAAAAGTCAGATTTCTCATGTTAAAAAAAAACCACGATAGTTTTCTCTCCAACAGGAATAATTATTATTGATTTACAGTGTAATAGCCACAAACAGCTTTAGTGATTGGTTAAATGTCTTCACTTCACTGGGGCCATTAATCAATATGAGCGGCTATTTATTGCTGAGCAGGCTACTACGCAATAAAGATGAGCCTGAAATGAACTCCCACAGTAGCTTTGACAGGCAAAAATTAATATTTAATGTTACATTACTAGCTGAGTTGAGATTGGGTTTCCTTTACTCTGCAGCTGGGGAGCTATAACCAGCATGGCCATGAAGGAGTGCTCTGAAACAGTCTTCACCTGCAGAGGCTTCTGACCTACTGTGATTTCAGTTCTTGTGCATAGTCTGATTTGGGAATGAGTTTGAGTGTCCTGTATTGCTTGAATCTGATAGCCACACAACATAGAAATTTCATTAACATAAATATATATTGTATATATAATTTTCTTTTTCCTTTCTCTTTCTTTCTTTCTTTCTTTTTCTTTCTTTCTTTCTTTCTTTTTCTTTCTTTCTCTCTCTCCTTCCCCCCCCTCTTTCTTTCTTTCTTTCTTTCTTTCTTTCTTTCTTTCTTTCTTTCTTTCTTTCTTTCTTTCTTCTTTCTTTCTTTCTTTCTTTCTTTCTTTCTTTCTTTCTTTCTTTCTTTCTTTCTTTCTTTTCTTTCTTTCCTTTTTTGAGACAGAGTCTCACTCTATTTCCCAGGCTGGAGTGCAATGGTGTGATCTCAGCTCACTGTAACCTCCACCTCCTGGGTTCAAGTGATTCTTCTGCCTCAGCCTCCCGAGTAGCTGGGATTACAGGCACCTGACACCATGCCTGGCTAATTTTTATATTTTTAGTAGAGACATGGTTTCACCATGTTGGCCAGGCTGGTCTCTTAACTCCTGACCTCAAGTTATCCGCCTGCCTTGGCCTCCCAAAGTTCTGGGATCACAGGCTTGAGCCACCATGCCCAGCCTAATTTTCTGTATGGTTATCATAATTACTGCTATCATTGGAAGCTTCTTTTTTGGGGGGGGTGGTAGTGGGGGGATTCCCCACTATATTATATTTGACCATAGGCCAAACTAGTTGTAACAATTAAGAACAAAGTCCCTTATTATGATTTAGGTGTCTCTTATTCTCAGCTCCATTTTGTGACTATGATTCCAAATTTTAATCCTATTTGACTGTGTGGAGTAAACCAGTGGTAGAGATGGAATTGATGGAGCTCAGAAACATGTAACGGAAAAGAGAATCGGCCATTTTCTCCTATTCTCTCTCTTTAAGTCCTTGTCCTTTTTCTTCCTTAGCCTGTGAAATATACTTACAGCTGGTCTGTTTGGTTTTTCCAAGACTATGCATATCAATGATAATATAAATAATGATCAACAGTCATTGAATACATACGTGCAGGCATTGCTATTATCTTGGTAATGATCTTACAATGTCAGTAAATTATTAGGCATGTTTTACAGATGAAGAAACTGAAGTTTAGAGAGGTTTGATAACTTGCTCAAGATCACACAGGGCACTAGTGGCAGAGAGTTGAGATTTGTCTAGAATGCAGAGTCTGATTAGTCCAGTTCTGAACTTCTGGGTTCTCAAAGGGGAGACTGCTCAAATGTTTTATGTGAAATGATGTGCAGGTCACATGTAACTAACTCAACTTCACATTAATAAACAAGTCATAGTTTTGCCTTAGAATGTCAAAGCTTATCCATGTCTGGGTTTAAATATCAGTTGTAAAGTCTTCAACATCGAGAGGATGATGAATGTAGTAGTCTCTTTGAGCATCAATGGAAACCATATTTGCATTATTCATAGTGAATACTAAGATGTGAAATGACAGTATTCCTTTAATTACAGTAATGCCTCTGAAACATCATATTCTAAAAGAAAAGATTTTAAAATTACTGATGAAATGTAAACTCCAGATAATCTTCCTCCTCTTAGATTTTATTTGATGTCAACTACTTGACACCTTGCATGATGAGTCAGAGTGGATCCATTAAAATACGATTTAATTGCAGACAAGTCTTCTAAATAGGCCTTAATATTGTCTCTCCTCCATTTGGCCATGCTATTAAGGCTCTGACTGTGGAAGCAGATAGTACAGGAGAAAATATTAAATATCAGTTTCGAGTTGAACATATAAAACATGTGAAAAAAACCCCATTAACTTTTGGGGATGGTCTTGGATGTTTTCCACTTGGTCTACACACTATGTTCCTACAGAATTAAAGACAAAAGTATGGCAGAATGTCACTGTTTTAGGATTTTTGTCCAGCTGTTCCCACAGTGGGCACCAAGGACAGGGCAGGTATCAGTCTCTGGTTGCAGTAATTAAATATTCAGTGACCTTCAGCGCTCGTGTTCATAGAATGTTTTCCTTTTGTGTTAAGATGCCTTGTTTTATCAGTTAGATTGTCAGTCTCTCCTTTTTCCTTCATTTTTCATGTAGATCTGAATCAACCTCTCTTCACCTACAGGTCATAACATATAAACCGTATACTCCTGATGCACCAACACATCCAGTTACTAGGTTGCTCTGGCTGAACTGATTCTCTTTTTGATAACTCTGAAGATTTGTGATACTGAGGCTCTTACTCTACTGAGAAGCAGGAGGCAATCTTGATGATTCCCACCAGGCTGCTGTGAGGATAGGAATGCCTCAATAACATAAAGTGATTTCTCCCTCTTCTTGTTTCAGGTTCAATGGATCCAAATGACTTCCTGAGGGAGGCACAGATAATGAAGAACCTAAGACATCCAAAGCTTATCCAGCTTTATGCTGTTTGCACTTTAGAAGATCCAATTTATATTATTACAGAGTTGATGAGACATGGAAGTCTGCAAGAATATCTCCAAAGTAAGCTAAAGACTTAATACAAGGAAAAAAAGAGGAATTTAATTTAGCTAGTCCCATAAGTGTCAATTTAGCAAGCCTTCTGTAACCGAAAGGATATTTACTATGTGTATGTCTGTGAGAATGAATGTCTTAACACTGAATGGCTCAACTACTATTTAATAGGTTATATATTGTATATTCAAAAGGTGGAAAATATTTATGCAGTGGAAGAGAAAATTATTCACAACAGATATATTAGGGTAATTGAATGTAACGTGGGAAATTAAAGAATGGATGTTTAGCATGATGCTTTGCATGATGCTTTATTTCCTACACTAATTGAACATTATCAGTTATGGACCAATATTTTCTATGGCACATAGAATTCGGGGACATGGAATACATTTGGGGAAAAAGGGAGGGAAGTATCCTATGTTTATTTTATTTGCTGGTATTTGACAACATTGTACTTGTTGCTGTTTAAAATACTTCCACTGCTAGGCAACATAAGAATTGTCAGACAAAAAAGCAGAAATATGCTATTACTTTATTTCTCTGTTTGCTTCCTGTAGTCAGAGAAGACTGAAGGGCATTATGAAATTTTGATGTTTATTACAAATGGATAATTTAGTAAACAACAATACAGTATAATGAGCATTAAAATGAGATGTTCAAAGAAGGTGAGATCAAGTATTGACAATAATTCGAGCTTGAAAAGGAGACTTCCATAATTTCTTGAAATGTCAGGGTGGAATGATAGAATGTTTAGAGGTAAAGGGAGGTGAGAATGATGAAACAAAGATTTCAGAAAGATAAGAATATCCTCTGATTTCAGGATGACTTATGAAGCTGGTAACATTAAGCTACAAAACAAGATAAGAATAACAAAGAACATAATAAGGCCTGTTGAATGCTGTTAAAAACAGAAATATACTCAGCTTCCTTGCAGAAAAATATTGAATTTAACATCATCAGAATATGTTACCCACCATAGAAAGATTAAACTCAGCTATTAAATAACCCCTTTTGCCTTATTCCCAGGACAAAGTGCAGAAGTGGTCTTGGGTCATAGCTAACAAAAAATGCTTTATAAAGGTCCTTAATAATATTCACATAATTACATCTAATGGCCTATTCCCCATCCTCAGATCTATCGACAGCATTTAATTCAATAGATGCTTTCTTTTCCTGGAAACATTTCCTTCATTTGGCTTTCAGGACACTTCACTCAATGGCATTTCCTCCTTCCTTTCTTGGTGGTTCTTTTCAACCTATGGGATTTCCTTCATTCCCAGACCCTTCAATATCTTGGAGTTCTCCAAGACTGTTCACAACGTCACTAGTTCCCTTATTAATTTCATCTAATCTCATTGTTTAATTTTTTATGTCCTGACAATTCTCCAAATTTTATTCCCCCTTTACTTGAGAATCATACCCAACTGCCTTCTTAACTTCTCCACTTGAATCTTGTATCAGTCTGCATAATGTAAATATGCTGCAATAACTAACAGTCTCCAAATCCTCGAGGGCTTAACACACATGTTTATTTCTTATCCATGCTACATTGCAAAATAGGTTGGCTGGTGGCTCAGTTCTTTTGATCACCCTGGCAGAGAAAGGGGATGAGACTAATCTCACCCTGATTCTTAAAGCTTCTGACCAGAAGTGACAGAAGTAATTCTGTTCCCTTTCCATTTGGACAAATCAAGTCAAAGAGGATAGGGAAGTACAATTCTCTAAAGTACTTGAAAGGAGGAAAAAAATCATTGTTTGTGAACAGCCCTAATTTCTACTATAGTAGAAATGTCTATTAGACATCTCAAGATGACATGCCCCAAACTGATCTCCCTGTATTCTCCCCAGTAATCTGCTACTCTTGCAGTCTTTCCTTCTTTGACCATAGCAACTCAGGCCTAATACCTTGGCATCATCTCTACTTTTCATGTCCCATCTCTAACCTGCTAGCAAAATCTCATTGGCTGGCCTTCAAAATATATAGAGGATTTTACCTCTCCTCAATGCTCCTACCCTGATCCAGGCTGCCACCTGAATTCTGCAGTAGCTCCCGGCTGGTCTTCATCTTCTGCTTCTTGTCTCCTTCAGTTTCTTCTTAACATAACAGCTAGAGAGATACAGTTAAAATGTAAATCAGAGCATGTGTAACTCATGAAGTCCTGCATGGCCTGGCTCTCTATTCCCTCTCGGATCTCATCTTCTACAACTTCTCCTTGCTCAGTCTTCGTCAGCCACACTAGCCCTCTTTACTATTTGTCCTACCATCCAGGCATGCTTTTGCCTCACTCGTTATTTCCTCTGCCTGAATTTTTTTGTTGTTCTGACATTTATCCACATGCTCACTTCTCATTTCCTCAAAATCTCTACTTACATGTTTCCATCTTGGTGAGTGTTTCACTGGTCACCCTCTGAATTTTAAAATTTAATCTCTTTCTACTGACTCTTAAAGTATTCCTCTTCCCTTGCTTTTTATTTTATCTTCTTGGCTGTTAAGCATCTTATACTGTGTATCTTATTTATTTGGCTTATTTTTAGTATCCTCTGAATATAACTCCACACAGGCAGATAGTGTTTTCTTTGTTTCAGAGTTAGAACAGTGTCTGGCACATAAGAAAGTATGGGCTAATTAGGTATTGAATAAATAGATTAAGTTGGGACCATCCTGAACCTAACAAGATTGGGACTTGGAGTCAAGCTTGTTTTGAGACTCTTGGTATTAGCTTGAAAAGATCAACTTGGTACATGGCTAACACCTTTGACATTGAGGATTTTTGTGGCTTGGTGATGTGGTTTACTTAGGGCTAAGTATGAACCCTATCAGCTTCAGGGTTAGGCCATTAGGGTCAAGTTTATCGGTGCCTTCATTTGTGAGGATGATGATTAGTAGCCAGGAGGAGTAATGAACAAATGCTCACTGCAGATAGCCCCTTCCCCAGTCAAGAGGGTTCACATTCAATAAAGTGGCCTTGGGCCGGGCGCGGTGGCTCACGCCTGTAATCCCAGCACTTTGGGAGGCCGAGGCGGGCGGATCACGAGGTCAGGAGATCGAGACCATCCCGGCTAAAACGGTGAAACCCCGTCTCTACTAAAAATACAAAAAATTAGCCGGGCGTAGTGGCGGGCGCCTGTAGTCCCAGCTACTTGGGAGGCTGAGGCAGGAGAATGGCGTGAACCCAGGAGGCGGAGCTTGCAGTGAGCCGAGATCCCGCCACTGCACTCCAGCCTGGGCGACAGAGCGAGACTCCGTCTCAAAAAAAAAAAAAAAAAAAAAAAAAAATGGCCTTAAAATGGATGTACCACTCTTAAGTAGCCCATCATGATAAATATTATTAAGATGAAAGATTCTTTTTTTTTCTTTTTTTAAAAAATTTTTTATTTTATTATTATTATACTTTAAGTTTTAGGGTACATGTGCACAATGTGCAGGTTAGTTACTTATGTATACATGTGCCATGCTGGTGTGCTGCATCCATTAACTCGTCATTTAGCGTTAGGTATATCTCCCAATGCTATCCCTCCCCCCTCCCCCCACCCCACCACAGTCCCCAGAGTGTGATGTTCCCCTTCTTGTGTCCATGTGTTCTCATTGTTCAATTCCCACCTATGAGTAAGAACATGCGGTGTTTGGTTTTTTGTCCTTGCGATGGTTTACTGAGAATGATGATTTCTAATTTCATCCATGTCCCTGCAAAGGACATGAACTCATCATTTTTTATGGCTGCATAGTATTCCATGGTGTATATGTGCCACATTTTCTTAATCCAGTCTATCATTGTTGGACATTTGGGTTGGTTCCAAGTCTTTGCTATTGTGAATAGTGCCGCAATAAACATACATGTGCATGTGTCTTTATAGCAGCATGATTTATAGTCCTTTGGGTATATACCCAGTAATGGGATGGCTGGGTCAAATGGTATTTCTAGTTCTAGATCCCTGAGGAATCACCACACTGACTTCCACAATGGTTGAACTAGTTTACAGTCCCACCAAGAGTGTAAAAGTGTTCCTATTTCTCCACATCCTCTCCAGCACCTGTTGTTTCCTGACTTTTTAATGATTGCCATTCTAACTGGTGTGAGATGGTATTTCATTGTGGTTTTGATTTGCATTTCTCTGATGGCCAGTGATGGTGCGCATTTTTTTAGACCTAAAACCATAAAAACCCTGGAAGAAAACCTAGGCATTACCATTCAGGACATAGGCATGGGCAACATGTCTAAAACACCAAAAGCAATGGCAACAAAAGACAAAATTGACAAATGGGATCTAATTAAACTAAAGAGCTTCTGCATAGCAAAAGAAACTACCATCAGAGTGAACAAGCAACCTACAAAATGGGAGAAAATTTTCGCAACCTACTCATCTGACAAAGGGCTAATATCCAGAATCTATAATGAACTCAAACAAATTTACAAGAAAAAAACAAACAACCCCACCAAAAAGTGGGCGAAGGACATGAACAGACACTTCTCAAAAGAAGACATTTATGCAGCCAAAAAACCTTGAGTAAAACATTACTCAAGATTCTTGAGTAATGGAATATAATTGAAAATATTTTCTTACTGCAAATGTAAATCATCATAGGTTTGTGAACTTTTACATCAGTTTTGACCTCTGTTGGTTGTATTAAAAGTATGTGTTGATGTTTACTTAGGCAGTACTGAGGCTACTGCACCCTTCAAAGTAGGAAATGTGTGTCACTCAATTTCCTCCAGTATTATGCCTGTCAGTGCAAACCTTTTTCTATCCATTGTAATAGGATTAGATGTCATATGTGATAGTTGAAATAACATACATATTTTTTCTATATAACCTTTTTTGTAGTTTCTCAGCTTAGCTGGATAATTTTTGTAATACATTTCTCCAAAATGAGAAAGATCTGTAAAAAAACTTTAGTATTGAGGGTAATTAATGACAGATAGATCTTATTACAATTTAAAGAGGATAAATATCTCCATTTTTAAAAAGTTTAGTTTGGCTTGTTTTTCCCCCAGTAAATACTTATAGAACATCTATTATAGGTCACACAACTTGTTACCTATTCCTTTGAGTAAAAGGAATTCCTATGAAATGGGGAAGAATAATTGCAATACTTACTTCATATAGTTGTTCAGAGTATTAAATTAGGTGATTGACTGGAAATAAACTATATGAGGTAGTGATAGGAGAGGATCATGTATATACTTTTTTTCTTTAAAAAACACTGTAGTACCTTGTGACAGGCAATTTCTAAGTCTTTTATAAATATTAACTTCATTCATTTTGTTTTCAATTTTTTTTATTTTTTAAGATTATACTTAAATTCTGGGATACAGGTGTAGAACATGCAGTTCTGTTACATAGGTATACACATGCAATGGTGCTTTGCTGCTCCCATCAACCTGTCATCTACATTAGGTATTTCTCCTAATGCTGTCCCTCCCTTTGCTCAACACCCCCTGACAGGCCCTGGTGTGTGATGTTCCCCTCCCTGTGCCCATGTGTTCTTACTGTTCAACTCTCACTTATGAGTGAGAACATGCAGTGTTTGGTTTTCTGTTCTTGTGTTAGTTTGCTGAGAATGATGGTTTCCAGCTTCATCCATGTTCCTGCAAAGGACATGAACTCATTCCTTTTTATGGCTGCATAGTGTTCCATGGTGTATATGTGCCACATTTTCTTTATCCAGTCCAACATTGATGGGCATCTGGGTTGGTTCCAAGTCTTTGCTATTGTGAATAGTGCCACAATAAACATGCATGTGCATGTGTCTTTATAGTAGAATGATTTATAATCCTTTGGGTATATACCCAGCAATGGGATTGCTGGGTCAAATGGTATTTTCTAGTTCTAGATCCTTGAGGAATCGCCACACTGTCCTCCACAATGGTTGAACTAATTTACACTCCCACCAACAGTGTAAAAGCATTCCTCTTTCTCCACATCCTCTCCAGCATCTGTTGTTTCCTGACTTTTTAATGATCCCATTCTAACTGACATGACATGCTATCTCATTGTGGTTTTGGTTTGGATTTCTCTAGTGATGATGAGCTTTTTTTCATATATTTGTTGACTGCATGAATGTCTTCTTTTGAAAAGTGTCTGTTCATATCCTTTGCCCACTTTTTGATGGTTTTTATTTCTTGTAAATTTGTTTAAGTTCCCTGTAGATTCTTGGTATTAGCCCTTTGTCAGATGGATAGATTGCAAAAATTTTCTCCCATTCTGAATGTTCCCTGTTCACTCTGATGATGGTTTCTTTTGCTGTGCAGGAGCTCTTTTGTTTAATTAGATCCCATTTCTCAATTTGGGCTTTTGTTGCCATTGCTTTTGGTGTTTTAGTCATGAAGTCTTTGCCCATGCCTATGTCCTGAATGGTATTGCCTAGGTTTTCTTCTAGGGTTTTTATGGTTTTAGTTCTTATGTTTAAATCTTTAATCCGTCTTGAGTTAATTTTTGTACAAGGTGTAAGGAAGGGGTCCCATTTCAGTTTTCTGCATATGGCTAGCCAGTTTTCCCAACAACATTTATTTAATAGGGAATCCTTTCCCCATTGGTTGTTTTTGTAAGGTTTGTCAAAGATCAGATGGTTGTAGATGTGTGGTGTTATTTCTGAGGCCTCTGTTCTGTTCCGTTGGTCTAGATATCTGTTTTGGTACCACTACCATGCTGTTTTGTTTACTGTAGCATTGTAGTATAGTTTGAAGTCAGGTAGCATGATGCCTCCAGCTTTGTTATTTTTGCTTAGGATTGTCTTGGCTATACGGGCTCTTTTTTGGTTCCATATGAAATTTAAAGAAGTTTTTTCTGAATCATGAAGAAAGTCAGTGGTAGCTTGATGAGAATAGCATTGAATCTTTAAATTACTTTGGGCAGTATGGCCATTTTCACAATATTGATTCTTTCTATCTGTGAGCATGGAATATTTTTCCATTTGTCTGTGTCCTCTCTTATTTCCTTGAGCAGTGGTTTGTAGTTCTCTTTAAAGAGGTCCTTAACACTCAGTAAACTAGGTATGGACAGAACATATGTCAAAATAAAAAAAGCTATTTATGAAAAACCCACAGCCAATATCATACTGACTGGACAAAAGCTGGAAGCATTCCCTTTGAAAACTGGCACAAGACAAGGATGCCCTCTCTCACCACTCCTATTCCACATAGTATTGGAAGTTCTGGCCAGGACAATCAGGCAAGAGAAAGAAATAAAGGTATTCAAATAGGAAGAGAGGAAGTCATATTATCGCTATTTGTAGATGACATGATTGTATATTTAGAAAACCCCATTGTCTCAGCCCAAAAACTCCTTAAGCTGATAAACAACTTCAGCAAAGTTTCAGGATACAAAATCAATGTGCAAAAATCACAAGCATTCCTATACACCAATAATAGAAAAACAGAGAGCCAAATCATGAGCAAACTCCCTTTTGCAGTTGCTACAAAGTGAATAAAATACCTAGGAATACAACTTACAAGGAAACTTCCTTCATTTTTCTAACCACATTATGAGGTAAGTATTATTAGTCCTACTTCACAGTTGAAGAAACAGGTATGTAGAGATTAGGTAACTCATCCAAGGCAGAAGTTTGGCTTCATAGTTCATGTTTTTAACTATATTCATAGCACTGATGTTATCTTCCTAACATCAATCTGTATTAGTTTTCTATTGCTGCACAAAAGATTAAAAGATTATCATTGCTCCTATCTAATCAAGATAAAACATGGAACTTGCTAAGCTAGAGATACATATGAATTACCTACGTGGAAACGACTGAAGGAAGACAAGCTATGGGTCTGGAACTCAGGGGAGAATATGCAGCAAGAGATATAGATTTAACAATCATAAGTTATAAGTGGGAGTTAAAACAGTAAAAGTGGGTGAGATTGCTAGGAAATGACAGAGAAACACCAATATTGAGGGTGGGCAGAGGAAGATAAACCTACAAGAAAACTGAAGAATCAGCCAGAAGAATATGAGAAGAAAACCACTGGAGAAACTTGTAAAACTTAGTGGCTTAAAGCAGCAAATGTTTATTATCTCACAGTTTCTGTGGTTAGGAATCCAGGTGTAGCTTAGCTGGGTCTCCTGGTTCAGGTCCTCTTATAAGGCTGCAGTCAGGGTGTTGGCAAGTACCCAGTCATCTGAAGGCTCTGATGGAGGTAGATCCACTTTTAAACTCACTCATTTGACTCCTGGCAGGTGTCGCTTCCTCCTGGGCTGTTGGACTGAGGAAATCAGTTCCTTTCTGGTTGTTGGCTGCAAGATGCCCTTTGCTCCTTGCTAGAGGGACCTTTCCACTGGGCAGCTTGCAACATAGCAGCTTGCTTTATTAGAGTGAGCAAGCGAGAGAACAACAGGGTGGAGATTATCTGTAAGGCAAAGTCACAGCCTCTTATAATTTAATCTTGGAAGTGATATCCCACCTACTTCTGCCATATTCTGTTGTTAAACATGAGTCACTAGGTCCAGGCCACAATTAGTAGAAGAGGCTTTCACAAGGGCTTGAATATCAGGAGGTACTGGTAACTGGGAGCCATTTTAGAAGATACCACATAGCTCACGGTTAGTAACCACCTTGTCTTAATTTCCATACATTTCCTTTCTTATTGAGTGAATTTGATATCAAAAGGCCTAGCTATTTTGGCTATCATAGCAGCAATGTTTTGCCATTATGCTGCATACTATTTATTTTCATGCTTACATCTTGTTTTAGACTGAATAATGTCAGCTGCTATAATATAGAATTCAAAACTCTCTATGACTTAATACAAAACAATAGACTTTTTTTTTGATATGGGCCAGACTGCTCTGCTAGGTGGCTTTCTCTAAAGGGTAATACAGGGATTTAGACTCATGTGGCTCTACCATTTTGAAATGCATCCCTCTAGCCATAAAGATGTGGGAGATTTTAAGAGCCAGGCTTGTAAGTGATGTTCATCGTTTTTGCACACATTGCATTGCCCAGAACTAGTGACAGGGCTCAACTCTAAGGGAAGATGGAAAATGTAATCTTCTGTGCGTGCTCAGGGAAAAAAGAAAGGACAAAAGGATTGGCAAGGAGTTAATTTCACCTCACATCTTATTGAGATATGCTACTTGCCTTAAAAAAGTAAATATATATGTGTACACACACACACACACACACACACACACACACACACTGTTTAAGTCTTTCCCTTAAAAAATTCTTTTGACTCTATTTATTTCATTTTTTATTAAAAATATCATATATATAGAAAACACATAATTATACAATATTGTTTAACATGTAATTATAAAGCAAACAAATAAGCAACCATTCAGTCACTGCCCAGATCAAGCATTAGAATGTGGCCAGCACCCTAGAAACCCCCTGAATACTTTGTCAATTACAACCCCACACTATCCCAAATTTTATGATAACTGCTTTCCCATTACTTTATGTTTACCTCTACCAGAACCTTCTTGTCTTCCTTCTTGATTAGGATTTTGGAATTTGCCACCACCTCCTTCTGTCCCCATGCCCTCCACTCATATTTAGCCCTCAAATCCTTATACCTGATCTCCAGTCAAACTGCTCTTCCTATCCCCAAAATCACCAGGGACTCCCTTATTATATTCGACAAATGTCTTAGTCCTTTTCTTCATGGACTTACTTGTAGAATTTGACTATGATGGCATTTTCTGTTTCTCAAAACCTTTGACTTGTTACAAGTTTCTCCAGTGGTTTTCTTCTCATATTCTTCTGGCTGATTCTTCACGGTTTTCTTGTAGGTTTATCTTCCTCTGCCCACCCTCAATATTGGTGTTTCTCTGTCATTTCCTAGCAATCTCACCCACTTTTACTGTTTTAACTCCCACTTGTAACTTATGATCGTTAAATCTATATCTCTTGCTGCATATTCTCCCCTGAGTTCCAGACCCATAGCTTGTCTTCCTTCAGTCATTTCCACATAGGTAATTCATGTGTATCTCTAGCTTAGCAAGTTCCATGTTTTATCTTGATTAGATAGGAGCAATGATAATAATAGATAGGATTTATTGAGTTCTTTCTAGGTGCCAGGCACTGCTTTAAGTGCTTTACATGAATTAATTCATTTTAATTCTCATTTTAACAACGAATACCATAAAGTAGTTACTATTATCATTGTACAGATGAGGAAACTGAGGCATAGGAATGTTAAGCTGCTTGCCCAAGGTCACAAAGAAATATCAGGCATATCCTTGATTTAAAGTCTGGCCCTCTAGCTTCAAACCAGGTTTCCTGGCCCCTGTAATGTATATAGCTGCCTCTCAAGTCAGGGCTTGTGTCTAAGCTTTTGACCATGAGTCTAATGGAATTTATGTAGTATTCAGCTTATTGAGACGGGGATATATAAGAGTAATATTAGTTTGAGTTGATGTGAGATTCTTTTAATTCTCCAGACATCTAAAAACATCTGTCAACAGTATGGCAGCTAAATCCTATCCAGGGATGACTCACCCCATTTCAAAGTAGAAGGAGTCAGTATTATTTTGTGTACAAATATAAAATAGGTAAGTCAAATACAAATACAAATGAGTCAGTCACCACAAAATAATGCTGACCCCCCTCTACTAACAACAATCAAACTGATTGTACTATATAAATTTTTTATACTTAGTTATAAAGAATTAGTAGTGGGAGAAACTTTGCCTATTGAAGGTATGTGCATGTCTGGAGAGATGAGCAACCTATTCTAAGAATAACAGACTAAGGCAGAGAAATAAAATAATGTATCAAGCTTGGTGGTACAAATGTAATATTCATACTTTATAACTATGGATAGACCTTTCATTTGTGTTAGTGGGCTAGTTTTTAAAAACAACATGATGGAAGAATGAGAATTTTTCATTGGCTCAGCCATAAAAGTTAGTATTGTTTTATAGGCTCAATGACTAAAACAAATTATGCAGTGCTTGAAAGAAATTCAGTAGCAGTTGAGTAATAATTTCCATGAAGAAATTAGTCAGTGACATGTGGTATTGAAATCATGTGAACAAAAAGCTCAACAGCACTTATCAGTAGACAAATGCAAATCAAAACCACAATGAGATACCATCTCTCACCAGCCAGAATGGCCATTATTAAAAAGTAAAAAAATAACAGATGCTGGCAAGGTTGTGGAGAGAAAGGAACACTTGTACACTGTTCGTAGGAGTGTACATTAGTTCAACCATTGTGGAAGACAGTGCAGCCATTCCTCAAATATCTCAAAACAGACCTACCATTTGACCAGCAATCCCATTACTGGATATATAACCAAAGGAATATAAATTATTTTATTATAAAGACACATGCACATGTATGTTTCTTGCAGCACCATTCACAATAGCAAAGACATGGAATTAACCTAAATGCCCATCAATGGTAGAATGGATAAAGAAAATGTGGTATGTATACACCATGGAATACTATGCAGCCATAAAAAATGAAATCATGTCCTTTGCAGCAACATGGATGGAGCTGGAGGCCATTATCCTTAGCAAACTAATGCAGGAACAGAAAAGCAAATACCACATGTTCTCACTTATAAGTGGGAGCTATGTTCACCCACATAGAGGGGAACAACATATACTGGGTCCTATGAGAGGGTGAAGGTAGGGAGGAAGGAAAGGATCAGGAAAAATAACTAATGGGTACTAGGCTTAATACCTAGGTGATGAAATAATCTGTGCAATAACCCCCCCATGACACAAGTTTACCTATATAACAAACCTGGAAATGTACCCCTGAACTTAAAATAAAAGATAAATAAATTTTTTAAAAAAGAAAAAAGGCAGAATAGCCAGACTCTCAGATAATTGCAGCCACGTTTGGATCATGTGATGACTTGTTACTTGTAATACTCATTCAAGGAAGAGAGGGCCTTGCCTTATTAACCTTTCACAGCAAATTAAGTTGTATTAATGATAAATATATATATTTTGCTCAACAGATCAGTGCCATTGTACTTAATCTCACTGATAGCTCATACATTCAAAATTCTCAGAATTCACTTTCATAGTTCAAATGTTCTCTAAGGTAACTTTCTTACTTTTCTCTTATTACTTAGATGACACTGGATCAAAAATCCATCTGACTCAACAGGTAGACATGGCGGCACAGGTTGCCTCTGGAATGGCCTATCTGGAGTCTCGGAACTACATTCACAGAGATCTGGCTGCCAGAAATGTCCTCGTTGGTGAACATAATATCTACAAAGTAGCAGATTTTGGACTTGCCAGAGTTTTTAAGGTGGATTTAGTTTTGTTTTAATTAGTTTTTGTAATAGGTCAAAAGTCTAACAGTTAGTAGACCAATAGATATACTGTTATTCTTTAAAACAATGTTTCTCCAAGTTCTGTAGTCCATAAACTACTTCAGTAGTCCAAAGCCTTACAAACTACCTGCACCTTCCTATTTCTTAATCAAGGAGAAACAAAATAAAGAAAACAATGACCAACCAGATTGGAAAGTATGTACTTAAGTTTATAGTTGAATTAATGATCTATTTTTCAGTTAGTACCAGTCACCTCTGTTTGCCTCTATTTCCTTTACAAAAGCAGTACACTTTGTGCAGTGTTAACCTAAACCACTATTACTCACTGTATGCCAGATTAATTTGCATGCTGCCAGAATTCTTCAGCAATCATTGGCTTTTTGATTTCCCCATTTTTACCTCAGTCTGAAAGATACTATATAGGAGATATAATATTAGGTGCTTTTCTCTTAAATTAATTTTACATTTCCACATTGTACCCTAAAAATATGGACATAGGGCATAAAACAACAAATAAATGATTCCCTTTTAATCTTCATGAATTCATCATTTTTTTCTTTTTGTAAATTAATTAGTACCCCAGTGAGTTTATATATTAATTTAAAACACTTGGATCCTACTTTTCATTATTAGCAAGTGGTTACATGGTAATTATCAAAGTCAGTGGCTTTTCAATATCATCAGTAAATCAAACAATAGACTTTGCTTCCTTTTTTTTTTTTTTTTTTTGCTCAAGACCAGATGTGAAGCCAGAATCATCATGTATTAATTCTCCAAATGTAGTAGAATGTTTCTTTCAGTGCTATTCTTGGCACATAGTAGGCTCTTAAATAATATTTTATTAATGACTTCCCACATATTTTTCAGTCTTGTATGCAAGATTCAGAATTTGCTACTGTAATTGTCAGTTGAACTAAGCTCATTTTGAATCTTTTCTCTCTAAATTTTGAAGTGAAGCAGATTATAGATGAATGAGGTTAGCAAAAAAAAAAAAATTGCTTTAACTCGGCCTGATTCCTTAATACATGAACAGGTAGATAATGAAGACATCTATGAATCTAGACACGAAATAAAGCTGCCGGTGAAGTGGACTGCGCCCGAAGCCATTCGTAGTAATAAATTCAGCATTAAGTCCGATGTATGGTCATTTGGAATCCTTCTTTATGAAATCATTACTTATGGCAAAATGCCTTACAGTGGTGAGTAATTAATTCTGAAGTGGACCTTTCTGCTGCATGTCACTTACTTAGGTGTGATTTTAACTGCTTTGCCCAGACTTAGAGGGCAGAGTTATGAGGCTGACCATACCATACCTGCGGGAGCTTGATAGATAAAATTTGATGATGATAATTTGCATTAATGAGGTGGTTTATTGCTTCCCTCTCCTTTGCTAGTGAATTGCAGTCTTATAGACATCACTTGCTGCAGGATTTAGTTTAATCTGTGTAACCTGAGAAGGGGATGGCAGACCTTAAATCTTTGCCAAAGAAATTGACTTACTTAGTAACCTAGAGTATAAATGGCTATAAGTTTAAGACTCTGACCTTTAACTTGTTTTTTTTGTTGTTGTTGGTTTCGTTCTGTATTTTCAAGGTATGACAGGTGCCCAGGTAATCCAGATGTTGGCTCAAAACTATAGACTTCCGCAACCATCCAACTGTCCACAGCAATTTTACAACATCATGTTGGAGTGCTGGAATGCAGAGCCTAAGGAACGACCTACATTTGAGACACTGCGTTGGAAACTTGAAGACTATTTTGAAACAGACTCTTCATATTCAGATGCAAATAACTTCATAAGATGAACACTGGAGAAGAATATCAAATAATAAAGTAGCAAAACAAATTCAAATAATCCATTCCAAAATACAATGTTATCAACCAACTGCACAATCAGTTTATCCTGACATATTCAAGTGATAGGATAAAGTTGGCCATGTATTATGAAAAAGATTATTTGTGCATTTTATTGACTGGGCAACACTGCAGGACAGTCAAGGTGATATATAATTTCCTCACTGCCTGGTAAAATTAAGCACACTAAACCAAGTTATTTTTCTTTTTAAGAGATACTTACATTTCCATTTATTGTTTGAAATGTCGATCAAGAGAATCAACAGATGATAGTCCAATTTTTACTCAGTGACTGTTGTAGCATTTTCCTGTTTACTGATTAGAGTGGTTATTCATTATTCCTCAGATTGCTGAATCCCATCAGGCTGTTATTATGAAGGAATTTGATTGCTTTGCTGCACAGCAGGACCTGTGCTTTGAGATTTTTTTTTCTCTTTTAAAATATCCTGTAACTACAATGATGGTAAAGCCATGTTAAATGACTTGATTGTACTTGGAGTAATTGCACATTTTTTTCTATGCATAAAAAAATGATGCAGCTGTTGAGAAAACGAAGTCTTTTTCATTTTGCAGAAGGAAATGATGGAATTTTTCTGTACTTCAGTATGTGTCAACTGAGAGTCATATACATTAGTTTTAATCTCTTAATATTGAGAATCAGGTTGCAAAACGGATGAGTTATTATCTATGGAAATGTGAGAAATGTCTAATAGCCCATAAAGTCTGAGAAATAGGTATCAAAATAGTTTAGGAAAATGAGAGGAGAACAGTAGGATTGCTGTGGCCTAGACTTCTGAGTAATTAATAAAGAAAAAGAAGTACCCTTTGGCCTACAGATCAGAGTTTTATTTATTTTTTATTTTTTACTTTTTATTATAGTTTAAGTTCTGGGGTGCATGTGCAGAATGTGCAGTTTTGTTACATAGGTGTACAAGTGCCATGGTGGTTTGCTGCACCCATCAACCCGTCGTCTACATTAGGCATTTCTCCTAGTGCTGTTCCTCCCCTAGCCCTCCATCCCCTGACAGGCCCCAGTATGTGATGTTCCCCTCCTTGTGTCCATATGTTCTCATTGTTCAGCTCCCACTTATGAGTGAGAACATGCTGTGTTTGGTTTTTTGTTCTTGTGTTAGTTTGTTAAGAATGATGGTTTCCAGCTTTATCCATGTCCCTGTGAAGGACATGAACTCATCCTTTTTTATGGCTGCATAGTATTCCATAGTGTCTATGTGCCACATTTTCTTTATCCAGTCTATCGTTGATGGGCATTTGGGTTGGTTCCAAGTCTTTGCTATTGTGAATAGTGCCACAATAAACATGCATGTGTCTTTATAGCAGAATGATTTATAAGCCTTTAGGTACATACCCAGTAATGGGATCGCTGAGTCAAATGGTATTTCTAGTTCTAGATCCTTGAGGAATTGCTACACTGTCCTCCACAATGGTTGAACTAATTTATACTCCCACCAACAGAGTAAAAGTGTAAATGTGTTCCTATTTCTCCACATCCTCTTTGGCATCCAAAACAGCATCCTGTTGTTTCCTGACTTTTTAATGATCACCATTCTAACTGGTGTGAGATGGTATCTCATTGTGGTTTTGATTTGGATTTCTCTAATGATCAGATGATGAGCTTTTTTTCATATGTCTGTTGGCTGCATAAATATCTTCTTTTGAAATGTGTCTGTTCAAATCCTTCGCCCACTTTTTGATGGGGTTGTTTGTTTTTTTCTTTTAAATTTGTTTATGTTCCTTGTAGATTCTTGGTATTAGCCCTTTGTCAGATGGATAGCTTGCAAAAATTTTCTCCCATTCTGTAGGTTGCCTGTTCACTCTGATGATAGTTTCTTTTGCTGTCTAGAAGCTCTTTAGTTTAATTAGATCCCATTTCTCAATTTGGGCTTTTGTTGCCATTGGTTTTTGTGTTTTAGTCATGATGTCTTTTCCAATGCCTATGTCCTGAATGGTGTTGCCTAGGTTTTCTTCTAGGGTTTTTATGGTTTTAGGTCTTACATTTAAGTCTTTAATCCATCTTGAGTTAATTTTTGTATAGGTGTAAGGAAGGGGTCCAGTTTCAGTTTTCTGCATATGGCTAGCTAGTTTTCCCAACACCATTTATTAAATAGGGAATCCTTTCCCCATTGGTTGTTTTTGTAAGGTTTGTCAAAGATCAGATGGTTGTAGATGTGTGGTGTTATTTCTGAGGCCTCTGTTCTGTTCTGTTGGTCTAGATATCTGTTTTGGTACCACTACCATGCTGTTTTGTTTACTGTAGCCTTGTAGTATAGTTTGAAGTCAGGTAGCATGATGCCTATAACTTTGTTCTTTTTGCTTAGAATTGTCTTGGCTATGCGGGCTCTTTTTTGATTCCATATGAAGTTTAAAGTAGTTTTTTCCAATTCTGTGAAGAAAGTCAATGGTAGTTTGATGGGGATAGCACTGAATATATAAATTGCCTTGGGCAATATGGCCATTTTCACGATATTGATTCTTCCTATCCATGAGCATGGAATGTTTTTCCATTTATTTGTGTCCTCTCTTATTTCCTTGAGCAGTGGTTTGTAGTTCTCCTTGAAGAGGTCCTTTGCATCCCTTGTAAGTTGTAATCCTAGATATTTCATTCTCTTTGTAGCAATTGTGAATGGGAGTTCACTCATGATTTGGCTCTCTGTTTGTTATTGGTGTATAGGAATGTGTGTGATTTTTGCACATTGATTTTGTATCCTGAGACTTTGCTGAAGTTGCTTATCAGCTTAAGGAGATTTTGGGCTGAGATGGTGGGGTTCCCTATATATACAATTCATATCATCTGCAAACAGAGACAATTTTACTTCCTGTTTTCCTATTTGAATACCCTTTATTTCTTTCTCTTGCCTGATTGCCCTGGCCAGAACTTTCAATACTATTTTGAACAGGAGTGGTGAGAGGGGGCATCCTTGTCTTGTGCCAGCTTTCAAAGGGAATGCTTCCAGGTTTACCCATTCAGTATGATATTGGCTGTGGTTTTGTCTTAAATCTGTCATTTTTTTTGAGCTACGTTCCATCAATACCTAGTTTATTGAGAGTTTTTAGTATGAAGGGGTGTTGAATTTTATCAAATTTTCTGCATCTATTGAGATCATCATGTGGTTTTTGTCATTGGTTCTGTTTATGTGATGGATTGTGTTTATTGATTTGCGTATGTTGAACCAGCCTTGTGTCTCAGGGATGAAGCCAACTTGATCGTGGTGGATAAGCTTTTTGATGTGCTGCTGCACTCAGTTTGCCAGTATTTTATTGAGGATTTTTGCATGGATGTTCGTCAGGGATACTGGCCTGAAATTTTCTCTCTTTTTTTTTTTTTGTTGTGTCTCTGCCAGGTTTTGGTTTCAGGATGATGCTGGCCTCATAAAATGAGTTAGGGAGGAGTCCCTCTTTTCCTATTGTTTGGAATAGTTTCAGAAAGAATAGTACTAGCTTTGTACCTCTTTGTACCTCTGGTAGAATTCGGCTGTGAATCTATCTGGTCCTGGACTTTTTTTGGTTGGTAGGCTATTAATTACTGCCTCAATTTCAGAACTTGTTATTGGTCTATTTAGGGATTCATCTTCTTCCTGGTTTAGACTTGGGAGGGTGTATGTTTGCAGGAATTTACCCATTTCTTCTAGATTTTCTAGTTTATTTGCTTAGAGGTATTTATAGTAATCTCTGATGGTATTTTGTATTTCTGTGGGATCAGTGGTGATCTCCGCTTTATCATTTTTTATTGTGTCTATTTGATTCTGCTCTCTTTTCTTCTTTATTAGTCTGGCTAGCATTCTATTTTGTTGATCTTTTCAAAAAATCAGATCCTGGATTCATTGATTTTTTGAAAGGTTTTTCATGTCTCTATCACCTTCAGTTCTGTTCTGATCTTAGTTATTTCTTGTCTTCTGCTAGCTTTTGAATTTGTTTGCTCTTGCTTCTCTAGTACTTTTAATTGTGATATTAGGGTATAGATTTTAGTTCTTTCCTGATTCCTCTTGTGGGCAGTTGGTGCTATAAATTTCCCTCTACACACTGCTTTAAATGTGTCCCAGAGATTCTGGTATGTTGTGTTTTTGTTCTCATTGGTTTCAATGAACAACTTTATTTCTACCTTAATTTTATTATTTACCCAGTAGTCATTCAGGAGCAGGTTGTTCAGTTTCCAAGTAGTTGTTAGGTTTTCTGTCAGTTTTAATCCTGAGTTCTAATTTGATTGCACTGTGGTCTTAGAGACTGTTTGTTATGACTTCCGTTCTTTTGCATTTGCTGAGGAGTGTTTTACTTCCAATTATGTGATCACTTTTAGAATAAGTGCGATGAGGTGCTGAGAAGAATGTATATTCTGTTGATTTGGGGTAGAGAATTCTGTAGATGTCTGTTAGGTCCACTTGGTCCAGAGCTGAGTTCAAGTTCTGAATATCTTTGTTAATTTTCTGTCTCATTTATCTGTCTAATATTGACAGCAGGCTGTTAAAATTTCCCACTATTATTGTGTGGGAGTCTAAGTCTCTTTGTAGTTCTCTAAGAACTTGCTTTATGAATCTGGGTGCTTCTGTATTGGGTGTATATATATTTAGGATAGTTAGCTATTCTTGTTGCATTGATCTGTTTACCATTATGTAATGCCCTTCTTTGTCTCTTTTGATCTTTGTTGATTTAAAGTCTGTTTTATCAGAGACTAGGATTGCAACCCCTGCTTTTTTTTTCTGCTTTCCGTTTGCTTCGTAAATATTCCTCCATCCCTTTATCTTGAGCCTGTGTGTCTCTTTGCATGTGAGATGGGTCTCCTGAATACAGCACACTGATGGGTCTTGAGTCTTTATCCAATTTGCCATTCTGTCTTTTACTTGGGGCATTCAGCCTGTTTACATTTAAGGTTAGTATTGTTATGTGTGAATTTGATTCTGTCATATGATGCTAGCTGGTTATTTTGCCCGAAAGTTGATGCAGGTTCTTCGTATCCTCGATGATCTTTACAATTTGGTATGTTTTTGCAGTGGCTGGTATTGATTGTTCCTCTCTATGTTTAGTGCTTCCTTCAGGAGCTCTTTTAGGGCAGGCCTGGTGGTAACAAAATCTCTCAGCATTTGCTTGTCTGTAAAGGATTTTATTTCTCCTTCGCTTATGAAACTGAGTTTGGTTGGATATGAAATTCTGGGTTGAAAATTCTTTTCTTTAAGAATGTTGAATATTGGCCCCTACTCTATTCTGGCTTGTAAGGTGTCTGCAGAGAGATCCTCTGTTAGTCTGATGGGCTTCCCTTTGTGGCTAACCTGACCTTTCTCTCTGGCTGCCCTTAACATTTTTTCCTTCATTTCAACCTTGGTGAATATGACGATTATATGTCTTGGGGTTGCTCTGCTCGAGGAGTATCTTTGTGGCGTTCTCTGTATTTCCTTAATTTGAATGTTGACCTGTCTTGCTAGGTTGGGGATGTTCTCCTGGATAATATCCTGAGGAGTGTTTTCCAACTTGGTTCCATTCTCCCCGTCACTTTCAGGTACACCAATCAAACGTAGACTTGGTGTTTTCACATAATCCCATATTTCTTGGAGGCTTTGTTAGTTCCTTTTCACTCTTTTTTCTCTAATCTTGTCTTCTCCTTTATTTCATTAAGTTGATCTTCAATCTTTGATATCCTTTCTTGTGCTTTATCGACTTGGCTATTGATAATTGTGTATGCTTCATGAAGTTCTCATGCTGTATTTTTCAGCTCCATCAGGTCATTTATGTGCTTCTCTATACTTGTTATTCTAGTTAGCAATTCCTCTAATCTTTTTACAGTGTTCTTAACTTCCTTGCATTGGGTTAGAACATGCTCCTTTAGCTTGGAGGAGTTTGTTATTACCCACCTTCTGAGGCCTACTTCTATCCATCCGTCAAACTCATTCTCCATCCAGTTTTATTCCCTTGCTGGCAAGGAGTTGTGATCCTTTGGAGGAGAAGAGGCATTCTGTTTTTTTGAATTTTCAGCTGTTTTGCGCTGGTTTCTCCTCATCTTCCTGGATTTATCTACTTTTGGTCTTTGATCCTGCTGATGTTCGGATGGGGTCTCTGAGTGGACATACTATTCCTTTCTGTTTGTTAGTTTTCCTTCTAAGAGTTAGTGCCCTCTGCTGCAGGTCTGCTGGAGTTTGCTGGAGGTCCACTCCAGATGCTGTTTGCCTTGGTGTCACGAGTGGAGGCTGCAGAACAGCAAAGATTGCTGCCTGTTCTTTCCTCTGGAAGCTTCGTCCCAGAGGGGCACCCACTGGATGCCAGCCAGAGCTCTCCTGTATGAGGTGTCTGTTGGCCCCTACTGGGAGATATCTCCCAATCAGGATAAACGAGGGTCAGGGACCCACTTGAGGAGGCAGTCTGACTCTTACCAGAGCTCGAGCACTGTGCTGGGAAATCCACTACTCTCTTCAGAGCTGTCCGGCAGAGATATTTAAGTCTGCTGAAGCTGCTCCCATATCCACCCCTTCCCACAGGTGCTCTGTCCCAGGGAGATGGGGTTTTATCTATTAGTCCCTGACTGCCTTTTTTTTAGAGTTGCCCTGCCCAGAGAGGAGGAATCTAGAGAGGCAGTCTGGCCAGAGTGGCCTTGCTGAGCTGAGGTGGTGGGCTCTACCCAATTCGAACTCCCAGGCAGCTTTGTTTAGACTGTGAGGGTAAAATGCCTACTCAAGCTTCAGCAATGGCAGACGGCCCTCCTCCCTCCAAGCTCGAGTGTCCCAGGTCGACCTCAGACTGCTGTGCTTGCAATGAGGATTTCAAGCCAGTGAATCTTAGCTTGCTGGGCTCCGTGGGGGTGGGACCCGCCAAGCTAGACCACTTGGCTCCCTGGCTTCAGCCCCCCTTCCAGGGGAGTGAATGGTTCTGCCTTGCTGGCATTCCAGGCACCACTGGGGTATGGAAAATAAAACTCCTGCAGCTAGTTCAGTGTCTGCCCAAATGGCTGCCCAGTTTTGTGCTTGACACCCAGGGCCCCAGTGGCGTAGGCACCGGAGGGAATCTCCTGGTCTGCAGGTTTCAAAGACCATGGGAAAAGTGCAGTATCTGGGCTGGAGTGCACCGTTCCTCAGGTACAGTCCCTCATGGCTTCCCTTGGGTAGAGGAGGTAGTTCCCTGACCCCTTGTGCTTCCTGGGTGAGGTGACACCCCACCCTGTTTCAGCTGGCCCTCCATGGGCTGCACCCACTGTCCAACCAGTCCCACTGATATGAACTGGGTACCTCAGTTGGAAATGCAGAAATCACCCGCCTTCTGCGTTGATCTCACTGGGAGCTGCAGACCAGAGCTGTTCCTATTTGGCCATCTTGCCAGCAATCAGACCAGAGTTTTAAATGGACTACAAAATAGGTCAAACTCTATTTCAGAACTAGAGGCTAGGAATAATGTCCAAACTTGGTTATGAAAGTTTTTTTTTTTTTTTGGTCTGGTAGGATAAGAGGGTTTTTACTCATCTTAAGTTTGAATTAAACTTTGTAACAAAGTTATTGTTTTTTTAAACAATGCATGTATCAAATTATCTGTCTCATTAGATAACTAGGTAGACTTTTCCAAGATGGTTTCAAAATCAAATATATATTCAAAGATCTTCCAGTGTAAAGCAATAGGAATGAAACAAGCCATGAGAAAGCAGAATATTTTGAGTATATTCTCATGCCTTTCTTTAAAGGAGAAGCGCCTATCTAAACAGTTACAGAAACCCAAATTCAAAGTAGATTAAACAAGAAGTAAATTTGTAAACTCTTTTAACTGGGAGACAGGAAGTAGGGAGGGCTCCAGGCACAATATCATTAGCAGTTCAATGTGAACGAAGACCCATGTCCTTTCCAAGCCTCCCTCTGCCATCAGCATTGCCCTCCTTCCCAGGGTCACAGATGGCTATCAATGGCAAAACTGGGGTTCCGCGTTCTCTTCTCCTCATCTGGCAAGAGAAAATGGGAAATCTCTATCCCAAGCTTGGATTAAAAATTATTTTCATTTTTGTGTTCCAGCAAACTTGGGTCCTATGCCCAGCCATGGACCAAAAATAGGCTTAATGTGAATGTTATGTGCTGATTGGATTAAAATAAGTTCTGACTCTGAATCTGGGAATGTGGTCACCTTCCTCAGAGACAAGTTGAGAGGTTGGCTTATCTGAATAAAAGCAGAGAATATGAGATGCTGGAGAGGTGTTCATTAAGGAGAACATTCCCTGAGGTGAATTAACGGTTAGAATTATCTATCTCTGTATTTATCTATCCACCCATCTATCATCATCATCACCTCATCTCCCTCCTTTCTCTCTCTCTAAATATATACATGCGGGTATGTTGAGTGTGTATATATTTATTTTTTTGTGTGTTTATATGGTGTGTGTGTGTGTGTATTCCAGGCAGATGTGTGCATATATACCCAAACTTTCCTGATGACCTTGAAATTAAATGGGTCATGTGAAGCTAAAGATTATAGAACCCCTTGATTCCTTTATAAACAGTATTTCTAAGATAAGATCAACACTAATCTTTCAAATTAGTTGACTGTGTATAGAACAACTTGTTTATTTAAAGTCATCTAGTCTAATGCAATCAAGGAGTAAATTATAAATAACCAGTTAGCATAAATGGAAAGAAAATAGTTCCTTTTCTTTGAATTCATTTCATGTTTAATTTTTCTTGCGCACATATAGAAATGAATAGAAATATTCCCATTTCAATATGCAAATTCAGCCACTATATAGTTTGTTTCTTTTTGGTAGCTAATAATAATAAATTTTTAAGTAAGATCTGATTTTGAAATATGAAAAGAAGTTTATCCTTTCCTGTTTTAATACCACCTGATACCCGTTTAACTTACTGTGTTTGATTCTTGGGGACATTTATGTTCAAGGTTCTGTCAAAGCAATCTATTATTCTTGTTTTTACCTGATGGATCATGGAGAAAAATAATGGATTCAGTTATGAGAAACAGTAATAGATTTTTTTAACTGCCATAAATTTCTCTCCCTGTATTAAATAAAAGGATCAGGAAAAGATAAGTTGAATTTTCCTACAATGAGCCAGCTCTTCTTAAATTTACCTCCCATAAATTGTAGCAAAGCACTTTTCATATAATGTTTTATTTATGTAATTCAGTTATTTGGAGATGGTGGTGAGGGATGTGAGTACATCATTTCATGTTGTATTTCAAATCTCTTTTGACAGAAACCCTAAGAATTTGCAATAAAGAAAATTCAATGTTCCATTAAGTTTTTCTTTTTCTTTTTTTTTAAAAAGAGGGTAAGGAAGGAAATAAGGGAATAGATTTAAGTTACCTAAGGTCAAAAGAGGCACAGGGTAGACTCTGAATAGTTGTGGAACCTGAATATTTTGTCATCAAAAACAAAGTTAAAGTCAGAGTGACCAGGAATCTGCAAACTGGCTGTGGGAATGGGTTGACTTAAAAGACAGACAAAGAACTAGCCTGTGGGGTAACATCAGGCTAGGCTCACCCTCAGCTTCTACCCACAATATCTGTATGATGACCATGTGGATCTAATGAACCAGGAGGGGCCCAAACTCTTCCGACTCTGTGGAGGCCTAAAGGAAACTGTTGCCATTGGAAGGATGCCATACCACTACCCAGCTGGAGCTTCCTGAAGGAAGCAGAGCCCAGCTGGTGTTCCATGGTTTGTTAAGCATATGCCATACCTACAATCACTTTTTTCATGGTCTGGTTGAGCATATGATTTCTGAACCAAATAGCCTTTCTGGTATTGTGTCATTGGTGACTCATTATGATTCTTTAAAAAGACACATTATGTGAGCTAGAATGGTGATGATTTGGGTACCTTATTCAAATTGCATCATCATTTAATTCAAGAGAAAGGCCATTCTTAAAGTAAAAGTAAATGAGGTTTGTACACCTGGGTATTGGAATTGCCAGTGGGCTGATCTGACAATGTTTGATTCTTGTTTTTTCTGGAATTATTATGTAGAAGATTCAGTCTATAATCTTCAACATGATGCAAATATTCAGTGTCATAGGATCAAAAAAATGCTGGAAAGTATCTAAAAATCTTTTAAATTCATATCTTAATTTTCAGTGTTATCCTCTTACTGCCTACATTCCCCCACTAAACTCTTAGATTTTTCTCTGCTTTTGTTAAGAAAGTGATGTTAGTAGGCCTCTCAAGTTATTTATGAAATTTAGAAATATACTGGAGAACAAAGTAGTATATAAACCCTGAATTTCAAAAGCCTTAACAAGTTTAGCTTCAATCTACATTCAGATGACACTATCTACAGAGATGTTATAAGATTAAATTACAAGAAAAGAGATGCCCAATTATTTCCATTTACTCTTCTTGCCTAGGTAGTTAATTTATCTATTATTCATTTGAAGCAACAGACGTCAATGTAACATCTTTTTCATTTTCATGGAGAATAATCAGCTTTTCCAGAAAAGGGTGCTATATCTCAAACACACCTCAAGTGTCCAGTTGGAAGTATTACCATGCAGAGGATTCAAGTCATATTACCTAATAACCAGAAGTTGTATGTTGGGAAAAAGTGGTTAAAAGCAACTAAAACTGCCCTGTTTGGAAGAAACTAAATATTGCTTTATAATGATTTTCTGATATTTTAGAATAGAGGCTTCAATTATACTATTTGTGAAAAAGAAAACTGCTTGGTATTAACCAAGTTACATTTAATTTTTATGGTCCACAAAATTTCAGAGTAGAAATATATCATAGCTTTTAATCAATTTTCAAAATCTATATTTAATTATTGATTCAAAAAATAAGAAATAAAATCAATTAGCCAGATTTGTATACTTTAAAGCTACCACAGTGAGATTTTTCTCTTAAAAACATGCATGTTTTTATATTGTATTCTTTAATATTTATATTGTACAGTTACATGTGACACATATTACATATGACTAATTTATATGTAGCAACAGGGATTAAAGAAGACCTCTTTTAATTGTACCACTTGTTATAATGCTATTATTTACCCAGATTCAAATGTAACTACTTACAATTTTTAAACATTTTTATTTCTGTATTCTTTAAAATATTAAGGCAATGGTTTTTCTTGAAATTATATTTTGCCCTATGTATTCTATTTTTATTCACACTGGATTTATTATGATAATTATATCAAAGTGATTATTTTTACCCTGACTTTTAAAAGTCAACTGTTTCAGAAGTCAAGTTGATTGTGGATCTAAAATATAAATTCAATGTGTTCATAGCACGTGAAATGTCTCCTCAGTTGACTATGTTAAGAGTTTGCATTTGTATGATGAAGAAAGTAAGTCTGTGAATCCAGGGGATATGATCTTGCTGATGCCATTTACTGCAGATCATCTGCTTCATGTCACCTTTCTCAGAGTCCCAGGCTAATGGAGAAACCTCCAGCTTAGACGTTGTTGGTTGCTGTGGCAGTAGGAACGAAAGCTCTAGCGGATCTCATGTTGGCAGTTCCATCCTTGGGCCCAAAAGATACACGTCTCTTGTGCTCCCACTCATTGGCCACAATTACGTGGCTTCACCCAGACACAAGGAATGATGGATATACAATCTTACCATGTACCCAGACATAGAGCTCTCCAGAAATACTCACTAAGTAGCACTAAAGGCTGTTGCACTGTGATAAAACAAACTCTAAGTGAAGCTGAGTGGTGGAAGGTCACAAGTACTCAGTTATCCATTTCTTCTTCATTAATTATTATATTTATTCATTCAGCATATATTGATTGCTTACTAAGTAGAAGTATTGAACTAAATGTTTGGATATAATTGTTAACAGAGAAATACACCCTGTTTTTCTCTAAGCTTACTATCAGGGGAGACCAACTGGGCATGTGAATCTTAGCTCACAAACCTACATGCACACTTTTTACCTTCTTGTTTTCCTCCTAAGAATTAAATTATCGTCTAAGGATCCATTCTCACTTTCCTCCTTAGTAGCAGAACCAGCTGAAAGATCACACTGCCCTCCCTCTTTTGCAGCTAGAGGTTGCGAAAGATATGTAAGAGAAAGTTGGTTTGCAGGACTTCTAGGAAGACTTTGTATGGTAAACAGCTGGCATGGGCCGTTCTTTGTCTTTTTCTCCTTTGTTAAGTCTTAAGCCTTAACCCTGGCAGCCATCTTAGATCATGAGGAACACTTAGAGATGGAAGTCACTTCTTTTTTTTTTTTTTTTTTGTTTTTGAGACGAAGTCTCGCTCTGTCACCCAGGCTGGAGTGCAATAGCAGGATCTCAGCTCACTGCAACCTCTGCCTCCTGATTTCAAGTGATTCTCCTGCCTCAACCTCCCAAGTAGTTGGGATTACAGGCGCACGCCACCACACCCTGCTAATTTTTTTGTATTTTAGTAGTGACGGGGTTTCACCATGTTGTCCAGGCTGATCTCGAACTCCTGAGCTCAGGCAATCCACCCGCCTTGGCCCCCCAAAGTGCTGGGATTACAGGCGTGAGACACCGTGCCCGGCCCGGAAGTCACTTCTAAGTAGGGTGTGGGTCATTGATGAAAGGGAAGTTGCCATGCCATCCTTGGATTGCTGACCTCAGGAATTCTAGTATTGGAGGGCTGAAATGCTATGCTATTTAAGAAACTGTGATGTCTAATCTCTATTTCTAGAGACTGGCACACCCAATTTCTGAATAACACATTATCTACTTAAAATCTTAATTCTGCCAGGTATTGGAAAATAAATGTTATTTCTAGCATTTTTCCCTAAGTGCTATGTGCCTTTAGCATGTTAAGGCTTTGGGGCAGGAGGAATTGTCTGGTGCCAGTATCATGTCATTACCTGTCTATGTGACTATCTGCTGAGATGTCTTCTCTCCCAATTGAAGTGAATGTGGCCTCAACTCTTTCTAATCCATTTCTATATCCTTATGTAGTCCAAAGGAAGAATTCAACCCCTCTGCCTAAATGCTCCCACAACCAGGAGCTCTTCTCCCCTCTACCATGCCATATGTGAGAAAGTACTTGGAAGCTTTCCTCCTCTCAGTCTCTACTCGGGAATGAACATAGGTACCCTCTGCTCTCAGATTCCCCCACCTCACCCAGAAGTCCTCCCATTCTTCCTCTTCACATTGTAGAGCAGGGCTTACCAAACTGTGAATGTTCCTTTAACTCCATTCTTCCCTTTGCACTTGAATCTTTAGTCTTTTATGATGCTGAACTTAGGTGGGGTGGACCAGAAGACTGATAAATTCATTTCAAAAGCCTTGGATTTTAAAACTCTAACGACAAGAATTTGACTTGTGTTTTCCTATTTTTCAACCGTAATAATCCTCCCTTTAGATGATAGAGCCTCATAGTCTAGTAGTCCAAAGTGGGAGGACTAAAGCATAACAGAAAATACCTGGGAAAAACATTAGCTAATATCTTAAAATAGTATCCTGCAACATATGGAAGTTAAACAAAAGTCACACAAAAAGTACTTAAGTAGGTTATGCTGAGTATTATAGAGGAGAAATGTGGGATGCTGTGGGAGTGAATAACAAATACTCCTAACTGGTCCTGGGGGTTGGGGAAAAATGAAGAAAGTGGTGTTTACCTGTGGTCTTAAGGATGAAAAGCTTATTAAGTACCTCTAGTCTGAAGGTATGCATGGCAAAGACATAGACCCAGTTTGATGGGAGTGTGGGAGTGAGGGGGAAAGTACTCACATTAAGGATGGCCAGGCATGTCCAGTCCCAATCATAGAGGTTCGTATAGTTGAGATTAATAATCAGAATCTTAATCCCACTGGGCAGTCACTGAAAACCTTGAAATTGTTAATATTGAGAGGTGACAGTGTGCTGGCAGCCCTCACAGCCCTCGCTTGCTCTCAGCGCCTCCTCGGCCTTGGCGCCCACTCTGGCCGTGCTTGAGGAGCCCTTCAGCCCGCCACTGCACTGTGGGAGCCCCTTCCTGGGCTGGCCGAGGCCAGAGCCGGCTCCCTCAGCTTGCGGGGAGGCGTGGAGGGAGAGGCACGGGCGGGAACTGGGGCTGCGCGTGGCGCTTGCGGGCCACCACGAGTTCCGGGTGGGCGTGGGCTCGGTGGGCCCCACACTCCGAGCTGCCAGCCGGCCCCGCCCACCCCGGGCAGTGAGGGGCTTAGCACCTGGGCCAGCAGCTGCTGTGCTCGACTTCTCGCTGGGCCTTAGCTGCCTCCCTGCGGGACAGGGCTGGGTACCTGCAGCCTGCCATGCTTGAGCCTCCCCTCCCCGCCGTGGGCTCCTGTGCTGCCGGAGCCTCCTAGAGGAGCGCCGCCCCCTGCTCCAGGGCGCCCAGTCCCATTGACCACCCAAGGGCTGAGGAGTGCGGGTGCAGGGCACAGGACTGGCAGGCAGCTCCACCTGCAGCCCTGGTGCGGGATCCGCATGGTGAAGCCAGCTGGGCTCCTGAGTCTGGGGGGGACTTGGAGAACCTTTATGTGTAGCAAAGGGATTGTAAATACACCAATTGGCACTCTGTATTTAGCTCAAGGTTTGTAAACACACCAATCAGCACCCTGTGTCTAGCTCAGGGTTTGTGAATGCACCAATGGACACTCTGTATCTAGCTACTCTGGTGGGGACTTGGAAAACCTTTATGTCTAGCTAAGGGATTGTAAATACACCAATCGGCACTCTGTATCTAGCTCAAGGTTTGTAAACACACCAATCAGCACCCTGTGTCTAGCTCAGGGTTTGTGAATGCACCAATGGACACTCTGTATCTAGCTACTCTGGTGGGGACTTGGAGAACCTTTGTGGGGACACTCTGTATCCAGCTTATCTAGTGGGGATGTGGAGAACTTTTGTGTCTAGCTCAGGGATTGTAAACGCACCAATCAGCACCCTGTCAAAACGGACCAATCAGCTCTGTAAAACAGACCAATCGGCTCTCTGTAAAATGGACCAGTCAGCAGGATGTGGGTGGGGCCAGATAAGAGAATAAAAGCAGGCTGCTGGAGCCAGCAGTGCCAACCCACTTGGGTCCCCTTCCACACTGTGGTGGCTTTGTTCTTTCGCTCTTTGCAATAAATCTTGCAGCTGCTTACTCTTTGGGTCCACACTGCCTTTATGAGCTGTAACACCCACCACGAAGGTCTGCAGCTTCACTCCTGAAGCCAGTGACACCACGAACCCACAGGGAGGAACGGACAACTCCAGACGCGCCACCTTAAAAGCTGTAACACACACCGCGAAGGTCCGCAGCTTCACTCCTGAGCCAGCGAGACCACGAACCCACCAGAAGGAAGAAACTCCGAACACATCCGAACATCAGAAGGAACAAACTCCAGACATGCGGACGTGCTGCCTTTAAGAACTGTAACACTCACCGCGGGGGTCCGTGGCTTCATTCTTCAAGTCAGTGAGACCAAGAACCCACCAATTCCGGACACAATATGACCTAATTTGGACCTTAAAATATTATTTTATTTAAAGTATGGCTTCGATGAGGATAAGAATGGATATGGAGAGATAATTTAGGAGGATGGATTGTCTGGGAGAGAGGTAATAGTGGGTCAGCTTAGTGGAAGGCAGGAGATAATGAAAACAATGATGCACGTGAGACATTTGGAGGTGGAAATAGCAGAACTTGCCAACTGTTTGGCTATGTGGGCCAGGAAGAATTATGTATCAAGGATGTCCTCCAGGAGTAATTAAAATATGGGACTACAGAAAGGAAGCTGGTGGGTAGTGGTGATCATAGGAGCTTGTTAGTTAATCAGTTTAAGATGTCATGAAACATTTAATTTGAGATGTTAACTAAAGACTGCTGTTAGCTTTTGGCAACGTGGAGGCCCTAAAGAAGAGCATCTTCACCTGACAAGTGGGATCAACAGTAGACTGCAGTGGGTTGAGGCACAAGTGAGAGATATGAGGTTGGGGGCAACATTTATTGGACTGACAACTTTTTCCAACATGGAGCTGTGAAGGTGAGAGGAGACATAACTAACTGTGGATTTGAAATTCAGAGAATGTGTGTGTGTGTGTGTTTGTGTTTCTAAAAATGGGAGAGACTAGGTCTCATTTGAATGCTCTATAAATGATTGCCAGAGGTTATTTTGGCCAAAATAGAATACATAGAATAATGTACGAACGATTGGTGACTCAAATCTGAAAGAATAACTAACTGCTATCTTGCTTATTGAATTTGTATGGATTGCATAATATAGGCCTTCTTTGTTAAACAAAATTTCTTTGCCTTAGGGGAATTTAAGCCTGGAATATAGTAAAAACGTATTTTGAACGAATACATCTCCTATTCCAGGACTAACCATATAAGAGTTTCATGGTGACATTTTCTTACCTGTTTCCCAAACATTAATCTAGTTTGCTAATATTCTGAGAGTAAGCAGTTTGCTTTTCTTTAGAAATATGTTTTATCTAGACTAGAGAAAGAGGTAAAAAAAGAAAAAATTCAACTAAATCCAAGTAAAATATCTTTTCATTTTTCTTGAATGTGGATGTTAGGTCTAATTGAAACAATATGGCTTATTGCAGATGAAGTATGAAATCAATTGGAATATGTTAAAACAGTGTCAAAGAGGTAACAAGAAGCTGAAGTTTTAATGTGTCAGAGAGAAGATATTTGAATCATCCCAAATAATGCAATTATAAGAAAAAATAAAAGGGAAAAGGAAGGAAAAACAAAACAAAGAAAAGCAAGGCTATTTTAAGAAAACATATCATCAAAGTCTTTGGAGAAATGTTTCTTCTTTTATCTGGTTAATTGGCTTATGAATAATGCAGAAGTGTTCTTATTTGGCTTTAACATATCCTTAGTTCAAACCCTAAGTTTTGGGGGCTGAGTCAGACAGAAGTGATCTTGCAATAAAATCTTCCTTGGGCATTATCTTCATCAATCTATTTTCATAGAACTGCAGAATTTTAGAACTGATAGGAACCTTGGAGATCATGTAGTCAGGCTATCAGAAGCTCTTTCCTCTTATGGAATGAAACTCGGAAACAAAAATAATAACAAGCAAGGGATATTTAGTAATTCAAGGGGCATTTTTCTTCAAATGAGTCTGCTTCATAGACTCTCTAAATCCTAAAGAAATGGCATAAATAAGGTTGTCTCGAGTTGTTTTTTCCCTGTATTTTAGAGAAACTTATGGTGCCTAATTTAGAGAATTGCAAAGATAAAATTCAAGATTTGATTTTATGGCTGCACATTACAAATATTATTGTAAAACATGTATGATGTGCAATGTTGTGCAAATGGGGATGGGTACCAACATCAAGTAATAGCAAAAATTAGAGCAACAGATAAATTAATTTCAGGAGTTCTCAAGCTGATCAGCAGATGGGGGCCCAGATTGCTGCCAAACACTTTATGATTAGAAGAAAAAAGAAAAGGACTTTAGAAATAATCTAAAATTCTGATATCATATTCAGTGCATTAAAAAATACTGAAAATGTGCTCCCTTAATTTTAAGTACCTATGCTCAGATCTGCAATGAAGGCATTGATTATAGATTACAACACAGTGCCCTACATTTTAGAAAAAATGCAAAATTACACAGTTCATGACTCACCAAACTCTAATTATCAAAATAACTGAGTATTCCTCACCAAAACAGAGTTAATAGCATATAGCCCTCATGGATTTTCCTTTTTTACTATAGAGATTCTAATATTTCAGTTCTTATTTTTATATGTGTTTTTATGATGCATATTGAAGATCTTCCCACATGCCCAATTATATTTCAAATGCGTTGAAATGCTCTTTATATATCTTTGCTCTCTTTCTTTGCTTATTCACTCTTTTAACAAAGAAATATGAATAGACCTCTGTGAAATTAATTTTTTTAAATTACAGGCATTTGAATTATTATTAACACAAAAAGTAAAACATTTTTAATACTAACTCAAAACTGACAACTAATCATAGTTCAATTTTTTCAATCATAGGAGTCTTAAATTATTACACCAGTGAAAAACTGCACAATTTTTTTCCCGCTGTGCTTTAGAACTTTTACATCAGGAAACAGTGAAAATGATATGTTGTTTGTGGCATTAACTCTACTTAATTTGGAACCTTAGAATAATTTTATTTTCTTCCATTAAACCCTTAATGCATTTCAGCATAAAATTTAAGTATATTAATATGTCAAATATTGATTTTGTGTTAACACTTTAAGACTGTCTAAATTCCATAGATACTTTTTGGTGGATCTGAAAACTAGTTGATCTGTACTTTATTATCTACTCAATATTAGGATTATAAATCAATGTGTCCAATAAAGAAGAATTATGTCCTTCAGGTTCATTCTATCCTGATAAACAAATTTCTAATGAGATGAAGATGTAGAAAAATTTCTGTACTTTTTCTGCACAAATGATACAATTATATTTTCTCACATTTTTGACATTGCTTGGTTAAATTCTGGCAGTCTCATGTCCATGTGTCCTGATAGCAAGAAGATTTTAAGAAAGAAAAGTACTACTTGGTTAATGCTGGAAAAAATGTCAATGGAAAGTTGACTTCATATCTGGTTTGTCTTATTTTTTCTGGGGGTAAAAATAGATGCAAATATGTGGAATGTTAGAATCCCAATATGGTTCTGAGACACTGCTGGGCAAAGAAAGTTTTGGTTTTGGGCCTATTTAGGAGAACATTTGATTTACCTACAGAGTAAGCTTTCAGTAACACTTTTATAACTACTAAGTAGTTGCAGGGGAATATGAAGGCAGCAGAAAAGGAAAGGGTGAATGTTCTCTGAGGAATTGAGGAATTTTCTGCTTTCTGACTTCTGCAGGGATTGTTCCATTTTCTCTACTTCATTCTTTCCTGTGTTTGGCATAGGGTAGAAATGGGATCCCATGGAAAAAAAGAAGAAAGGGAACCTGGAAGAAAAAAAAACGTAGCTAAGCAGAGATGGTGAGGTCGTGAGAGAAAACTCATTCTTCCCTCTTGAGACTACATAGTTAGATTTACAGCATCTATTTCAGTCTTAGCCAAAGATTTACTGACAGGCCTTTGTCAAATCATATCACTTAATTTTATAAGCATTTTTTTCTCTTGGTAAAATATTGTTGTTAGTATTTATGAATTGCAATGAGGATTTCATGAACATAAAGCTATGAATATTTCATGAAGGTCTTGAGATATTTGGATCTAAGTATGTGTTATCAAATATAGCCAACTCTCAAATACCACTTAGTGGGTTATGTGTGAGGAACTTAGTTCTGCACTGATATTCCCTTGCCACATAGCATATTTTTGAGCTGTCTCCTTTCACAAGTTCGTCAGTGTGTAGTTAAGAAAAGCAATGTAATTTAATTTTAGTCTGGGCAGTAAATCTCCTGCTGTGAAGGTTGAGATATAAGGAGGTGGGTGAGTGCTGGTGGTGGAAATGCTTTGGGCTTTCATTCACTCTTCAATCCAACACTTATTGAGCATCTGCTCTGTGCTAGGGACTGGGTAGCATTGGGAATAAAAATATGAATAACAGAAGAAGACAGTGTGGTTAAGTGGTTAAGCTTTGGAGCTAGATTTATTGGATTTAAATTCTAAGTTTGAATTAGGAGTTGTTGGTTTTGGTCAGGTCACCTAATCTTGTTTACTTGTTTTTTTGTTTTGTTTTGTTTTAATCTGCAAAATGGGGATTTACCTAGACCACAGAACTGTTTTGAGAATTAAGTAAGAAACACACTTTGAGCAATGTCTGGCACAGGGCTATGTACTCAAAACATATTAGCTTTAAACATTCAGCTTCTGTCCTCCAAGACTATCATCTATGGGAACATGGATGAATAACCAATGACTACAATATAGTGTAAGTGCTATTACCCAGACATACATGGACCACTATGAGGGCTCAGGAGACACAATGAAATCAGATTGGAGGGTTGGTCCAAGTTGGAAGAAGAAATCACCACCAGATTTTGAAGGGAATTGAATTTTAAGCCAAGGACTTGTATTCTATCTAGCCTGAAAAATAATTGGCACACACATATAGGCTTCCAGTTTGAGTTTCAAGTTTATGGGACTTATCCTAGAAACTTTAATTAGGGTTTTCAACCAGACCCCTCTTTTAGGACATGAAATAACTTGACCCTTTAAGTTCATCAGAGATTCTGTTTAGTTTGTAGGCATCTGTTTAAATTTAAAAAGTTAGTTTTCAGTTAAGTCTACTTTTAATCTATCTTCATTTGCCATATTTCTCAAAATACTGTAACCATTCTTTGCATTTTATTCCTATTTTAAAATTTTAGTCTCTAGAGAATTTTGAAATTTCTTGGTTCTCATAAAATAACATTTATTTGCCTCACATTTTCTTCAAGTTTGGCATATATAATGGAAGAGAAACACCAGTGTAGGGAAGACAACTCCAAGGTAGTAAACGTAGCACATAAAAGTGAGTTTTGGTAGAGAGAACTCAGTGTGTGAAGAAGGAGGCTTACTCCATGACTCTCTGATCTGGAGGTGACTAATCAGGCTCTCTCATTTTTAAAAATTTATAAAATATGGGTATCACAGGGAATAATTAATATAGGAATGCCCAGCACACAGAAGGTTTCGGAACAATCTGAGTTGAATTCCAGTTCATGCTCATACACAGAACTCACTTGTAGTTTAAAATGATCTCTTTCTCCTAGAGGTAGTTGGCCTCACATCACATAAGATCAACTCTTAGCAGAGTGCCTGGCATGAAGTAGGCAACCAGTACATATTATTTTCTTGAATAAATAAAAAAGAGGACAATCCAAACCTTCACAACTAAAAACACAGTTTCTGGCTTCTTGGCAGATGGCAAGAGAAACATTTTCTTAAAGGGATACTGGAGATGGTGTGGTTTGCCTATATCCAGATCAGCTGGTGGCCAAATGGCGAAACTTTCTGCCTCTGGAGAAGACATCCGTAGAACTGGTGCCATGAATGAATGTGATGAATGCAACTTGAGAGCCAAGTCAAAAGACATTCTCCATTAGTCATCTATTCACAACTCTGGTTCCATAGATAATCAAGTGGAGCTGAATCTTTCCTTGAAAGCTTTCTGCAGAGAAGCACATGAGAGAGCTCCCAATTCACTAATTAGAATACCTGTTTCCAGAATAAATAAAAACAAGTGGATTAAATTCATTTTCCTTTTGGGCTAAAGTTTATAAGGATTCTTTATCTTCACTTCTGTCTCTCAATGTGAAATCAAAGAAAAAATTACCTAGGGTCGGGATCATAAGAGACTGAATTTAGGATGAAGATGGGATCATCTCACTTACCTAACTAGATAAAAGAAGAACATTGTTGTCTCAATTTCCAATCATGCGAAGAACAAAAATTCACAAATTTTCCTAAAATACGCATGAAGCCTGATATAGTTAGTATCAGTTTTTAGGGCTTGTGACTTAAAAATGTGAGGAGGCTTGGATGTCAGGAAAGAATTGCTCTGTTAAATCTTAAACTGAGCAGGTTCCATGTTATGGGAAGGTTCTATAAGGAGGGCTTCCTGAACCATAAAGGAAAATTTTAGGTCAAACAAATTTATTATTATAATCGAAATTCAGCTATACTCAGGCTGTCTTCACTCAAGGTTCCAGTATGATTCGCTATTTACTAATTTTCTCCATTCTCGAGATGAGTGTTTTAGATCAAGTTAAAGTGATTATTCATTCGTTCATTCATTCATTCATTCATTTTAATTCAGCAGCTATTTATTGAGTGCATATTATGTGCCAGATATTATCTAGCCCCTAGGGATAATGGGCCTAGAAAGATCGACTAAGTCTCGGCCCCACATTCTAAGGATAATTCACTCTGACCCAGTATTTCTGCCTGAATGCTGCAGTTTTTGTAACCAAAAGGGCAATATTATGGGGATATAAAGGTAAAATGGTGCTAAAGTTCTTCTCATTATGTCATTAATCTTCAGAGCATTAAAATACTCTCTAATTGTCTGCCAGCACTGCTGTATGGTTGAGGTTTTTCTTAAACCAAATTCCAAGGGCTTGATGATTCTTTGAAATCATTCTCAATTTCCCCGGACGTGGATAATAGAGAACTGACAAGCCTATTTCCTTGATAAATAAAAATTATCAGATTTATTTTCATCCTAGAAAATTTCTAGAGACGTTTCAAATAGAACTCATATGAAATAATCTGAGTGCCTAAGTTTAGATAGTTTTATAAAAAATGAAATGTTTCGGGCTTTAGTTATCACAGTTTATGTTAGAGAGCTATGATGGGGCACTGTTGGCAATGTTAGGTCTTATAAAAGAGCAACTGTGAAAATATAAATCCTAGTAATGCCTGGACAAGCATTTCACTCAGTTCTGTGAGGGTCCACCTGATTTTTGTCAATTGCAGTGTTTCTGTATGTGTATCACAACCACCACCACCACCATCACCACCACCATTACCACCGCCACTAACAACAAAAACAACACAGTCTCTGTCCTCTTTGAAACATCTCATCAACAGACCACAGCTTCAAAGAGCCTAATGAGACCTGTTGTTTACCAAGACACTTAGATCTTATCTTGGGTTGTAGATTGCCAAAGGTTTGCAAACATTCTGAGTAACTCTATATAGATATTATAGTTTCTGTAGGGAATGTTCTCTATAAGTAAAATTTGCTTAGAATGGCTCAGTGTGTAGCCTACTCCATCTCCAAATATGGAAACTATCTACTTAAAATCTGCAAGTTTGAAACTGACCTCCCTTTTTCATCTGTTATATTTTTCATGATTTTTCACTCTTCTGCTTTTCTGACTTATCTGAGAAGGCAGGACATTTTGACATCTGCTTAGTTCACTTTTTCTAAGTCTTATCTACTTCATCTTTTCTAAGTTTGTCTTAAAATTCCTGAGGGTAATTTGCTTAGAGATATGGTGACTGTAATCAATTGACAAATTTTATTTTAATTTTTAAAAGACAGTAGTAGAAATCAATTGACTTTTTCCTCTTTTTTATTATATTCATCTTTTTTTTCCTACCAGTAGACTATCAAAGGCAGAACTCTACATTTTAAATAGGTCAGATGAACACCATAAGCCTCAAAAGGAATGGGAAATTTGTCTCAATCAAAATGTGGGAAAGGAAAATTGCTTATTAAAAATATTTACTATTAAAATTTTAGCCCATGGAAAATAGTGATGGAAAAGTGTAGTGACCCTCAACAAATGTCATATTTTTCTCTTAAACTTCCATTTTTTCTCATTCCCTAGATAAGGGCATTTAAAAATAGTTGCTTCTTGATTTCTTGTTCATATCTAATCACACTTTGGCTAGAGTTCTTGTCTATTCCTTCAGTGTTAACTCTCATGTACACATAGATTTAAAAACCACAAGTATTCATTGAGTGCTGTGCTGGTCATTCTCTGCTTGCTGCAAATCCTTCTTTGCCGTGCTTTGTGCCATGGGCGGATGACTTCTACAGCTGTATCACTCATCTCCCTTGTTCTCTGGTATTGGGTTAGACTTGGACAATAGAAGGATGGGGGGAAAGTGAGTTGGGGTGATTATTTCTCCTCTCATCTCCTCACTGTTGAACTGAGATCCTGGTTTCAGCTCTTGTCGTTGGCCCCTTTTCTCCCACTCCAGAGCTCAGGTAACATCACTTCCTCCTCCTGCTATTTTTACCTACAGTCAATGACACCTTCCATCTGTTGCTTCTGTGTGTGGCTTTCTATCCCTTTTAAGTCCCTTATTCCTGCACACCCTTCTGATTTTAACAGAGGCAACTTCTCATTGGGTATCAGGAACCATATTAAGTGCCAGAGATTCAGTGGTGAACCAACTAGAGAAACTGTGAAAATATAAATCCTAGTAATGCCTGGACAAGCATTTCACTCAGTTCTGTGAGGGTCCACCTGAGTTTTTGTCAATTGCAGTGTTTCTGTATGTGTATCACCACCACCACCACCACCATTAACACCACCACTAACAACAAAACTTTTTGTCTTTTGGTGCTCACATCCTAGTATGGTATCCCAGTTTGTGGGAATAGTAAACTAATAAACTAAAAACAACAATTACCATTGGGGCAAGATTTCTGATAACAATGGGGTGGTATAAAGACAAACCGATGTGGGAATTTTGAATCTGAGCTAATTTAGACATGGAAATGTTTCTGTTGGTGTAGCAAGGGAGATAAGGCCTGAATAATGAAAAATAATCTAGCCATTTGAAGGACAGGAGAAAAAAATTAGCAAATACAAAGGGCTTGATCCAGGAAAGAGGTTGATGATACTCAAATCTATATTGTAGTTGAAAACCTCATATTTAAATTATCTTCTTACACCTGAAACTGTCTATGATAATGTATTTACACATTGGCAAAGACTTAGATGATGCTTAGGACATCCCAGATACTGTTCTTAGTACTTTATATTATCTCATTTAATCTTCGTTAAAATTTGAAAAACAGATGCTATTTTCTCCTCTCTATGGAGGAGGAAACTACGTACAAAGAAGATATGTCCTTCTGCCATCTAAGACCAGGCATATCCATGGACAATTTGTTTCTAATATTTCTATCAATGGAATCTTCATTATCTCAATCATACAAAGTAGAAACTTTGATATTACACTTGATCATTTTTCTTGCATTCTGTCAGGCATGAATCCTTATTACTTGCTCCTTCAGAACATCTATGCTATGTGTCACTGTCTCCATTCTCACCAGTAATGCCCTAATGTAAACCCATTACCTCCCACCTGGATCATTGGATTACATAAGGTAGCACTGGTATGGTTTGGCTGTGTCACCACCCAAATCTCATCTTGAATTTCCACATGTTGTGGGAAGGACCTGGTGGGAGATAATGTAATCATGGGAGCAAGTCTTTCCCCTACTGTTCTCATGATAGTGAATAAGTCTCATGAGATCTAATGGTTTTAAAAAGAGGCATTCTCCTGCACAAGCTCTCTCATTTTTTGCCTGCTGCTATCCACGTAAGATGGGACTTGCTCCTCCTTGCCTTCTGCCATGATTGTGAGGTTTCCCCAGTCACGTGGAACTGTAAGTCCAGTTAAACCTCTTTCTTTTGTAAATAGCTCAGTCTCAGATGTGTCTTTATCAGCAGTGTGAAAATGGACTAATATAATTACATAAGGTAGCACCCTCCCATCATCTCTCGTACTTCAGAAGGGGAGAGTCTGAAGAAGCTGCCAAATTATTTTTATCTAGAAAATGAATTCATCACATTATTTCCCTTTGCAAAAATCACCAAAGTTTCACAATTCCAACAAAAGGAAGCATCATAAAAATGCTTTGTAATTTAGCTTTGAGTTCTCTTTATCCTTTATCTCTTGTTTTTTCAATGTGAGTCTTCTGTCCCTGATTTCTGATTACTCTACAATTTTCTGCACATGGATGAGTTAGAAATTCTGTGTGTACCTTTGCCTTCAAGTATGAATTAGGTGAACACAATTGTGGGGGAAAACATGTTAACTTAGGAGTCTATTAATACTTGGAAGATTTAATTAATAGGCTTTGCAAAGTAATTATGCACCTGTGACTGAGAACACATTTATAAGTTTGAGAATTGACTCCCTCTTCTCACCTTTGCCATGCTGATTAAATAACAGCAAGGTAGAGTGGTGTTTTAACTGGTGTGTGTGTGTGTGTGTGTGTGTGTGTGTGTAATTATCTATCAAAATTTTATTTTCTTTACTCAGTGGCCCCTCAGCTAACATGACTGTTGAATTTAACTATGAGAAACATATTTAAGGAAATTAAATTCATTCATTTAGTGTATATTTGTTGAGCCATTGTTATATGAAAATCCTACTTAAGAGCCATGTGGAGTAAAAGAATATAATATGCTTTTTTTGCCTAATGGAACTTTAGAACTTCGTTTTCCACCAGAGGGCAAAATGAAGCTTATATAAGTTTACCTGGGAGGTTACTGGTGAGTACTGGAAGGAAGTATTAGAGGATCCCAGGTATCTAGGTGGGTAGAAACCACGTGTTAATTTATTCAGCACTTGGATTTCACTACTTTTGTAATGGAATTTGAATTTATTTCTCTTTAGCCCAAAGTTGCTCTCTGGCTCAGCGCTTAATCTTCACTTATGCCTCTTAGCATTAAGGAACAGTCAATATTTGCCTGAAATTAAGGACTGAGAAATCAATGTTTTTAAAAGTGCTTAGTAACCAGTGTCCTTGGGTATTTACTCACTTTCAGAATCACTTCTATTCCAATCAATGCAAAAGCTCTAGAATTTATTGTTCTGCCTCAAGATCAAGCCCCCTTTCCCCAACACTACATGTTCCTGTGTCTGCATAATTCAGTCTAGAATAATGCCACAGGAGTTCCAGTAAGACAGTCTGTGGTGTCCTTTTGTCACTCTCTGCATCTCAGGGTAGCCAGGGAATAGGAAGAAGGGATCTTGATATTTCAGATCCTTTAAAACTCATTAAGGTGGCTATGTGCACTTCGATTTCAGTTCCCCTTGAAAGACTCCCCATTATATAAGTTGTGTATATGTCTCTTCGTTTTTCTCATTGTCTCAAAGATAATAACTATAGGAACACACACACATTTACACATGCACAAACCTCTCAAAGACCAACATCAACTCTAATTAACAATACAGCTTCAACTGGGAGATGCCGGATTCAGATGGTGCAGAGGCCAGTCAAGAAACTCAAGTGAGTGCAGGGCACAGTATCACAGAGCAGGGTGAGGATGGTGGCAACCTCTACCTTCTCCACCTTTCTGTTACTACATAGCAATGAGTCTCCCCTGCTGTAATATTTGAATTATGGCAAGAGGAGCCAGAAATCCATATTTTAAAAATGAAAATAAATGAATTTTAAAAGACTTAATGATTAATTTCATGTGTCAACTTGAGTGGGCCATGGAGTACCCAGACATTTGGTCAAATATTATTCTGGGTGTGTCTTTGAGGGTATTTTTGGATGAGATTAGCATTTAAGTCAATAGACTGAGAAAAGCAGATCATCCACCTAATGTGGGTGGGCCTCATCCAATCAATTGAAGACTTGAACAAATAGGCTGAGTAAAAGGGAACTCCTCCTGCCTGACTACTTGAGCTGGAACATTAATCTTCTTTCATTATATATATGTATATAATAAAAAATATATAAAACTATGTATATATAGTTTTAATGTTCTTTGTTTTGGAACATTAATCTTTTTCTGCCTTTGAAATCAAAGAAAAAATCCACTTTTGGGTTTTGAGCCTACTGGTTTTCAGACTGGAACTTACACCATCAGCTATTCTGACTTTCAGGCCTTCAGACCCATACTGAAACTATACCATTGGCTTTCCAGGGTCTCCTGCTTGCTGACTGCAGATCTTTGGACTTTTTAACCTTTATAATTGAGCAAGGAAATTCCTTATAATAAGTATATGGTCCATTACTAGATCATATACTTGTCAGTGACTGCTCTCCTCACAACATGAAGGCTTACTGGAGCTAGTAAATTCTTAGACCAGGGGCCTCTTCCTCCCTGGCCCCCACTGAAGGTGGTATTGGGGAAACTGGGAATGGTGGGGATGGTAGTCTCATTATTCCAGTTAGGTAAGTAAAGAGACTCTATTTTTAAACAAACCAAATCAAATACATTCAAAGGGATGTTCACTTTCAAGGTAGTCTCCTTAAAAAAACTATACTTATTTTAATAAACATGCTGACATTATTCAGATAATATTTTTAATTTCTTTTTGCAGAATTGCCTTAAAACAGTTTCACAGGAAAATTAATCTACACTGCAAATTGCTCTCTGTTTTTTACTAAAAACATTAGTCAAATTAAACTTTTACTTTTTCAAATAACTTTTGGCTTAAATGTGAATTTAAATATACTCTTTAATGAAAAACTATTTTCTACCACTAAGATTACATAAAAGGATGCATTAGAGACAGATTTTTAAAATATTTTGAGCAATGGCCATACTCTGGAATAAATGCATATTATGCAAAGACAATTGCTTTGAAGGGGTCATGTGGAGGTAGTTTTGGAGAATTTGTTTAGAACTCAGTCTTGTTTACCTTAAAGCAGGGGCCACAAAATCAAAAGCTCTCACTGAGTGTATTGGTTTGGGAGGAAGGCAACAGGAAGTAAGCTAAGTCTGTCAAGATCAGGCATCCACTACTTAGCAACAATCAGAGGTTGTCTGCGAGGCATCTGGGCCTTGTGTTGCAAAATTGTTGATGTTTCAACATCCGTGGAGGAGCAGGGGAGACTTGTGAGTTGAGGGTGATTGGTACCATTGGTGGTCATGTGGTATCCAGAACAGGAGGGAAGGAAGTGGAAACCTTGAGTACAGACCTGCATTTGAGAAATTTTCCTGTGAAAGAAAGAAAATAAATTAAGAAGTTAGCAGAGTCCAGTGGAATTTAAGGTGGATGTAAAGGGAAAGGGAAGTATTCTGAGGATAGCCTATGAATGATATGAATAGAGAGGGAAAGTGGAGGTGTTGTGGAAAGCAGGACTAACTGAGGGAACATGCAACCAGCAAACGTTGAAGGGATGAAATCAAAGGTATAAGAAGAAGGATCTCCTCCTCTGGGAAAGAGATTTATTCTGGCAGAAAAAGAAGATCAATTATTTGGATAAAAATGGAAAACATACTTATCAAATTTGTATATGCCACCAATCTGTGAGGAGCAGCTAATATGATTGATAATAGAGTCAAGATTCAAGAAGTCATGTTGGAATGTGAGAATGATGAATTGAAACAAACAAAAATGAAGTTTAGTGGTAATACATGCAAAATTTCTCCTTTATACCAAAATCAATCATTTAAAGTAAAGAATGGAGGAGAAATAACTTCATTCTATTTCATGTGGAAAAGAGTAGCATTTTCTTGTAAAAGCTTGCATATTAATGATGCCAGCAGGGTAACACGATTGCTTTAAAGCTAATGCAACCCTATGTTTAATTGGGAGACTATGGGGCTGCAGCAATAGCCGAAAATTGGGATACTAATTTAATAAACTATGATGCAACCTCATAATGAAATAACCTGCTGTTATTAAAGAATGAACGAGAAAGCTCTTTATGTACTAATTGGGAAAGATTTTCAAGCTATATTGTTAAGCACACAAAAAATGAAGGTGCACAATAGTATATACAGAAAGTTACCTTTCATTTATTTAAAATGGGGGAAATAAAATATATGCATTTGTTAATTCTTTATTTGCATAAAGAGATCCCAAAATAATAAAAATGAGTTTAAAATATTAGGTTATCCATAGCAGGCAGAGTGGAAATAATGTAGACAGGGTCAGGGATAGGAATAAGTTTTCTCAGTGCATCCTGTTTAATTTTATTTTGACTATTTGAATGTATTATCAAATTTAATAAATATTTGTTTAAATGGGATGGATGAGGTGAGGGGTTGGAATTTATAAGTGAGAAGGGAAAACCGAGGAAAACTATCCAAAATTATAAAATTTTCAATGGCAAGGTTTATTCTTTACTTATTCTTTTCTATGGTATCTACAATTACACTGTTCATGTAGGAGACTATTAATCAAATATTTGCTAATCAAATGAACAAATGAATGAATTACTACATGAGATGATATTTGTCCTCAAATGTATGAATGACTTGCCAAAGAGGAAGAGCCTTGTTTTTAGTTCTATGCGATCAAAGTTGTACCAATGAATGATAGTTACAGGAGGAAAAAAATGAGTTTGTTCTTTCAGCAAGCATTTTTGAGGGACTGTTTTGTAGCAGGCACTGCGAATGTCAAGTGGAATAAGACATGGCTTATGCTTTCAAGAAGGTTACAGTTTAGAATCGGGGTGTCAGGTGCATAGATGATCACAACAAACTGAAATGGGAGAGTAAAACACTAGGGATAGGCACAGAAAGTTTGGGGAGTGCTGAGCAAACCTTAGATAAGGGTGTAGGAGTGGGTTTGGGCTGATGGGTTTGCTGGCTAATCTTTGATTAGGCTTCTGAACCTTCACCTATGCTTACCTGTGGACTTCCTTGTAAAATGCAGGTTTGGCAAGGAACTCTGCTAAAGTAGTTTACCAAGAACCTCCAACCCTTAATCACCATCCATATCTGATTGAGTTCCTCATCCTCTACCATCCACCGGTGATGTCTGACCACCCTGTCTTAGTTTTAGAATGTGGTTAAGTTGGTTTAGCCAGAATCCCCCTTACCCTTGGTGTTTCTTCTTAATAATTTTCTATTACTGACCCCTATCCTGTTCCTTGGCTATAAATTCCCACTTACCCAAGCTGTATTCGAAGTTGAGCCCAATCGCTCCCTCACTGCAAGACCCCTTTGCAGTGGTCTCTATACCTATAGCAGTGGTCCTGAGTAAAATCTTCCTTACTGTACTTTAACAAATACTATTGAACAATTTTTTTGGGGGTGGTCATGGTTGGCTTCCTGGAGAGTTCCATGCCTGAGACCAATCTTAAAATAAGCAAGGAAGGAAAGGGGAGACAGGAGGGATAAGCCAGAGGGAGGGACAGCAAGAGCAGAGTCTTGGGGAGAAAAGAGGAGAGTGGGTTGTGAGGGGCATCAGGAAATTTGTCTTGGTGGAGCATTAGCAGGATATGTGACAAGAAAGGCACAACACCAACCTTGAGCTCAGTATAAGGAAGAGGTTTATAGCTGTCTGCCTGAGCTAAAGAGGGAATGGTGCTTAGTGGAAGTTTGCATGTTCAAGCCCAGGCAGGCTACATGACCACTTGTTAGTGCTGTGGAAAAGAGAGCATGCCCTCAGAATTTTAAACAGAAACTGTCTTTTATAAGAACCATATTGCAGGAAGAAAGGAGGATGAGACCCTTACACCTGAGTTGCCTGACAGATGGAAATTGCAGGTTTTCTCTCTTGCAAGTGCTACTTAAGATTACCTCCCCCATTGCCTAGTGGTTGGCAGGGGAGGAGAGGCATTGTGACATTCAGGGAAAGGAGAGGAGACCTCATGGTACTGAGCAGTGGGGGAAGCACTGAAGTGAATAAACTTGAAAAAGACTATTTGAAAAGGGTGCTGATAACATATATTTGAAAAGGGCCTTGTAACCAGTAATGCATTAAGCAGTAATCCTTTTGTGGAAGCTTGAAGTTTCTCTAAGGATGGTCATTTTGAGCTATCTTACTATAGAGGGGGTTGATATTTTTTTCCTTTGGTAAGGGCAGTAAAGAGAAGGAACCTAAACAGTATAAAGAATTGTACCAGATGGTCATTTATGATACTCTGTAGCCCTACACTTAGTAATTGTGAAAGATTGTTGTCAAAACCTGCCTTAGGACTGTATAGTTTCATATCACCCCTAGAGAAAGAATTTCTTTGGGAAGAAGAAAGGTTTTTTGTTTACCTTTCCTCCCTAGGATTAATACAGGGGCTTACTATCTAGTAGGAACATTAAATAAGTACTTTTTATGAATGAATGTGGTAGAGGAGCACTCAGTTCTCTGGTGTGTCTGATCTGTGCACTCAGAGTTCTATGATTCAAGTACCTTCCATGAATCTTAATACACAACACACACACACACACACACACACACACACTTTTACAAATGCAAGAGCAGAGGAACAGCAAAGTTAGGTAACTTGCCTGAGATCACAGAGCTAGTCAGTGTTGAAACACACAAGTCTTTCTAACTCACAAATTCATGGTTTTAGACTACTGCATTGAGAGATTTGTGTGGCTTGTTTTATTATTCGGTCTCTTTCCATATAAAATATAAAGATATATACATATAAATGAATTTAAATTTTTCATATATCTATATTATATATATGTGTATATATATATATATATATATATATATATATATATATGAATTTAAAAATTTCTGAAAGCTACCCAGAGAAAATAAGGTGGCATTTGTTTCTCTCCTTAAATTTAGCCGCTAGGTCCTGATGCTTGTTAAGAAGAAATTTCAGGGTAGCAGCCTACATTTCCCATGGGAAGCCCATGTCTGCTTTAGAGAGTTGTTCTATAATTTGGAGAACGAGTAGAGGCTGACAGTGTAGCGAGAAGGGTACAATCAGCTTCCTGACATGGGAAGAAAGCCCGTGAACGGGTCATCTCCCTGGAGGCCCTAGGAGCCAACTATGACACAGAGCTAACAACTTCCAGAGGGAGTTGGGCCAGGCTTTCTTCTCCAGATGGCTCATTGCAGGATGGAAGGCCCCACGGTGGGGGGCCTGTGGAAGGGGCTGTCCTGGAGGCAGGAACAAGCGATAACAATGAGGAAGCCTTCTGATACCAACTGGGGCACGCTATCCCTGAAAAAGAAGGAACCAAACTACTGTCGCCTCACCATAGGGAGCTGCCTCTCACACTGCTCAGCTGGGTTCACCCTGGCACTCCTTTTGATATGAATAATTATAAACACACTATGTACGATCTTGCATATGTTCCATTCTTTGGCAAAAGCCATTATACTAATTACCAGCATTTTGAGGGTGTGTCAAACACTTGAAGTGAATTTTTTTTTTATCTCATAAGAGAAGCTGCAACACTGTACATATGATTCTGTATTAATGAGTTACCAAGAATATAATTTAAAATTTTTGGCTGTTTTCCTCTTATGTATGATATTTCCTCCCTACCTACCTGAGCATTTATGCTTGCAAATTCTGCAGTAAATGTAACCTTGTACCCATGATTTCTTGAACTTCTCTTGCAAACAAGAAGCAAAAGCAAAGATAAGAACCACAAAGTTGATTTCCCATTACATAGCTATGATTTTCTTTTAAAATAATTATTTATCTATTTCAAATCAGTGTACTTGGGATATCCATCACCTTATATATTTGTCTTTATGCTAGAAACATTTGAACTACTCTCTTCTAGCTATTTTGAGATACACAATAAATTATTGTGAACTATGGTCACCCTATTGGTCTTCAAACACTAGGTCTTATTTTTTCTATCAAACTGTATATTTGTACCCATTAATCAACCTTTCCACACAATTTTCTGTTTTTCTCTTATGTATCTTCCTTATACCAACAAAATGTACGAGAACATTACTTTTCAAGAACACTTATTGTAGTTTTTCTAAAATTGTGATATGACAGCATTCAGGTTTGTGTGTGTGTGTATGCCACTAACCTCAAAGGCCGTATGCAATTGCTAAGGCATTAAAGTTAACCACATTTGGAAACCGCTATTTGACTCATCATTTCATTATTGCTAATTTGTTAAATTGCTATAACATTGCATACTTTTAAAACAGCTTTTAACACAGAAGTTATTTGTTCATTAAAATAATTAGCCCCCTTTTATAGCTAAATTTTACTCGAGGAGGTTAAGTGACTTGCAAGTGGGCAGGTGGTGGGTTAAGGATTATTAGCTGGCCTCTGATGTTTAGTCTAGGGTTTTGGCCGTTGTGTTAATTTGCCTCTCTAAAGGAAAAAAAATTATCTCAGTTACTAGGAATCCCAACACAAGCCACCTTCCTGTCTCTCTCCAGCTGCTTCATGTACTGCTGTTTAAAATAGCCAGGAGAAGAGCAATAGGTGCATCCAGTGGGGAGGAGGGGTACATGGGTATCTGGAGGGGTCAGTCCTTGACTGATATCTTTGTCCCCTAGTGTTTGGTCACTGCTGTTCAGTTGGAAGCATAATTTCCTTCAAATATTGTTCATTTGGTTATTGTAGAAGTGACAAGGATAAAGGGAAGCTGAAAGTTCAAACAACCTACCTCCTAGATGAATTGGGGATGTGTCAAGACAAGTTTACTCAACCCTTCCGGAATTTTCTGGGCCTCATATACCATCTTCTCTTTTATAATCTCTGCCTCCTCTCCACATTCTCTTCTCTCTTTCTCTTTAGTTCTATATACCTTTCTCTCCTTCACCTGTTTAGTGAGTCTCTCACTTTTTCCCTTTCTTTCCAGTCTTTCTGTGGTACTCAAGGTATATGTCATTTGTTCTTGGTAGAACAAAGAATCTGGGTCCTTGTTTAAAATGTAGTGAAGTAGCCAATAGCTTAGTGGCCACAATATGTCATGTCATATTTGTCTGTGTCAAATCACGATGGCCATTAGTACCTCTTCCTTTTACCAACAGCCTGTTTAACTAGACTGGGCAATGGTAGTCAACACTTATCTAACTCTGTCTGCACTGGCCTCTCCACTTCTATTTCTATATCTTCATCTCTGTGTCCATATACCCATGTTTCTCTCTTTTTTTCTCTTTCAAAATGGAAAAGAAAAAATTATCAGTTATATTTTGATTGTACACATCCAAATAAAAGTTATTTTCTTAATTCTCCTAAGAGCTTGTAAAATAAGAGTCACACATAATGACACCAATAAGCAATATGTAGAAATTCAAAACATAATATTTAATAAGAAAATTGGAAACTATTACAGCCAGACTGGGGAGGCTGAGAGATGTCTGATTCCCATTAAAGAAAATTCATCTCAGGAGATCCTAATTACAAATGTCCAGATACCTGGTAGTCACTGAACTGGAAAATTTGCCCCCTTTTAACAAATTTCCTGTTCAAGTTTCTAGAAATTTTTCATAAAATATAAGTGATACTTGTTATTAAAATCAGTTATAAATTCTGTAGATAGTAATATGACTTTTTCTTTTTTCCTGTAGCACTGCTATGAACTAAATGTTTGTGTCCCCCCAAATTCATATGTAGAAGTTTAATCACCAGTGTGATGGTCCCACCCTCCCGTTAAGAGGTAATTAGGTCATGATGGTGGAGCATAAGTGGATTGAATAAGGACTTGAAAAGTGCAGCTAAAGTGTGAGAGAGCTGGATGGCAAGGAGAACCTTGAAAAAATTAGAGTTGCTTAGTTTTGTCAGCCAAGCTGGAGGGGAAATAGTTAAAGGAAACATAAAGGAAAGAAATAAGTGTCATTCATGAAATTCCAATCCCAAGTACAAGGGACTGTCTATTTTAACCCGTTAGAGGTAAGTTTCATGTAAATGTAAGGATGTAATATAAAGATGTCAGTGGCATCTATTTAGAACTTATTGCCCCAACAAGCACATGGGCGCTAACACCAAATCTCAGAAGTCTAGGACTGAACAGAGGAATCCTCTTGGCACAGCATTAGGGTGGGGTTCAGCAGGAGCTACGAGGTGAAATTATGTTATAGATGAATGAGTCTTACATTACTTCAAGGAGCTACTGGCAGAGACAATACAGAAAGAATTATGAGAACTGAGGTTGAGAAACAAGACTGTAGCCCCAAGACAGAACTGGGAAGGAGTGAGGGGAAAAATGGAGAGACAGAGAGGCAAGGAAAGGATGCTGGGAGGCCTATCCCAGGATCTTGGGCCTAAGGCAATTACTTAACTGCTGCTAGAATATGATGTAAGAATAAAAGAGAGGATTAGCTGTCAATTCAAATATTGGTTTATAGATGATCATATTATTCCTGCACTGGAGTCAAATTATTCTTAAGGCTTGGACAAGGCTGAACACATAGGCATGCAGTATATGGCCCGAACTCTAGTTCTTGGAGTGCCATTGTATCAGGAAACCAAATCCTGGAAAGACATAGAAAACTGACTCCAGTGTGAAACACATAGCCTATCTGCATCTATAATTTGTGAACACTTCTGGTTATTTATGCTTATTAAAGCAGTGAGAAGATATGAAATATAAATAACTCCACAGAAAGTCTAAATAAGTCATTTTTTGAACCATAATAAGTAATTTAAGGAAGCTTAAGCTATTCGAAGTATATCAGTTACATTTTATTAGTTGATTTCTGTGGAACAATCACATCTCCCATGAACCTATCTTGGTGTGACTCTCAGAAAAAGGTACAAAAATGGAGGAACCATGAATCTAATCTAGTTTATCAATTTTAGTTACATGCGCTTGTAAAAATTGCAAGAAAAAAATTTCACTGTAGGGTGTTAGCATTTAGAATCATAATAATTTCTAACCTACTTATTTGTAATTTGACTTTCTCCTTTGGCTTACTTTTTATATAAGGAGAATTTGAAGAATCGCATTGCCCTGCTGCCAATTTTTATACCAATGTGGCAGAACATTTGTCTACAAAATTATCTCACCACATCTTGCTGTTTATTTCAATGAATGCCCTGATTTTGCAAATTTTGTAGACAATATTCTAAAGAAAGATATTTTGACATTAATAAAACTTTTCTTTGAGAAATTATAACACGGCTGAGCTATATTTTAAAAATCCCAAATGCTGTGTATATATGTATAGATTGTTTGTATAGAAATGGGACTAGGGGCCAATGGATTCACACTCAGAGCATTATGGTATGTTTACTGCAACAAATGTGTTCTCATTAAAGATGAGGACTTCTTGGAACTTCAGTGCCTACATCCAAAAAATGATTCTGGTTTCTAGGGGTGATTATTTGGTGGAGGACATATTCTGTGGCAGGTGGTCTTTTGTCAATATCCTTCATGATGGTCTACATGAAATTAAGGCTGGCCCTGCCTATAAACCAGTACTGAGAGAAATCTTTTTTTTTTTTTTTTGCTACCTAAGGAAACTAACACTTTTTATCCTGTATCCTCTCTAGTCACAATGAATAAACACATTAATTCATTGTGTACAAAGGACATGCAGCTCAATTATTTTCTAGGGGCATAAATTAAATGCTGAGCACAGTTTAGGCAGCAGGGCATCTTTCTTGAAAGAGTAGAGAAAAGCTGTGGATGCTTCTAATCCTGCCTGTTAGTATAGTGAACAAATCAAGTTTAATCCGTTTCAGTGTTGGGCTTTAAATTTTCATGTTTTCTTCCTGTTTTTCAGTGGAAGCTGGCATGCAGACCAGCCATAGTGCTTGTTTGTTTTTATCTGAACAAATGTCTCCATTCCCACCAAAGGGCTTGTGTATTTTTTACCCTTTCTTTTCCAAACGACCTGTCAAAACTCAGAAATGTCATGTTAATGTTTTATGGACAGACCATCCCAGCTGCTTCGGGAAACGGCAGCACCACTTCAATAATTTACATTGCATTTCTGCTTCACTTTTTCTTGTATCTGTAAATTTTCAGCAGTGAGAAACCAAACGGCAATAGGGTTTCTAGGCAGCGTATCTGTATCTAGAGCTTTGTCCACTGCTAATCCTGTTCCCTGCCCTCCTCCCTAAATGAAAGAGTCAAACAATTTCCATCTTCAAGTGCTAGTGGGAGCCATCAATCTATTCTCACACGGGAGCTGTGTTTCATGTTGTGGTTGAACTTTCACATTTGTTTTTACCTATTGTATTTATTGACTGTACTCCATAATTAGCAACCTATTTTATATTTACTTATTCACTAAGAATTCTGTTTATAAATGTCTTGGCTTCTTACCTCAATGAAAATATTCTGGCTAAGAATTGAATTCATACTTCTTTTGTGTCACTTTAATATAATCATATGAAATCTGGCACAGACTATAAAATCTGACAAGACTCTTAAGTTCTTGTCAAGTTTTAAAAATGTGATAATGAACAAAGTTTGCCTTTTGTTTAATATATGGTGTGGTGGGAAGAGAGGCTTGGCAGTCAGAAGGCCTAGAATTGAGGCTCAGTTTTCCCTTGGCCTTTTTTGGAATTATAGTCAAGGAATTCTTTTTTCTCATCTTGAGGCAGGATTTCTAGTACTTGTCTAGTACTTTATCTCACAGGGCCATTGTGAAGACAAAATGAGATATTGTATGTAGATGTTTCATCAATAGACAATCTTTAGCCTGATCCTCTTAGTCTGTAAATGACTTTAACACATTTTGTTTGAGTTTTAACACATTTTGCCTCTACATCAACGTTTTGAGGCTTTCGTGCTCTGAATCAGCAAAGGTCCAAGTGGCAGTGCCTACTCGAAGCAACACAACCTCTTGACTTCTGGAAGTGTTAAGCAAAGGTGTTCAGCCAGGAAAAGTGCAGATTGGTGCAATCCTATGTCAGAGAATGTGAAAGGGGTTTGTGTAACAGAAAATCATTTCTGGGCCGGGCGCAGTGGCTCACGCATATAATCCTAGCAGATTGAGAGGCCAAGGCGGGTGGATTGCCTGAGCTCAAGTGTTCGAGACCAACTTGGGCAACTTGGTGAAACCCCATCTCTACTAAGATACAAAAAATTAGCCAGGCGTGGCAGTGTGTGCATGTAGTCCCAGCTACTCTGAGATGAGATCATGCTACTGCACTCCAACCTGGGTGATAGAGCGAGACTCCGTCTCAAAAAAAAAAAAAAAAAAGATTATTTCTGTTGGTTCTCATCTAATAAAAAGGTGCCCTAAACAAAGGCCTGATCTTTTTCTAAACTCTCATTGTGAGAATGTAAAATATACATAATTTATCAAAGAACCTTAAGCTTACAGAGATTTTCATAAAAATGTTTTAAATAAAAGAGCATGTACTTTCTTTAGGGATCAATTTCTAGGACAAGTCCACTTTATGCATAATCTAGCACCTTGGAATTTATAAAACAATTATCCAGCACCCATCAAGAGGGGTATATTTTTCACCTTGAAAGTGGATATTTAGAATTTATGTGTAAATTATTTTTAGATATTGTACTAAGTCCCTGTAATGGAAATTGTTGAAGAATTTGAATGCAATATAATATATTGAGTCATGTTTAATTGACCTGAATCTAAATGGCTTGTATATAATAGAATCTCAGAGATTTCCCAAATTTATATCTCATATTCTATTGTTTCCCTTATCAGATGGGTTATTGCCTTGATATAAGAATGCTAAGTAGTGAGTTTTAACTTACATACATCTTGGGTTTATTGTCTGCCTTATATTATAGTTGTTTCTAGGCTTATCTCTCTTTTGATGCAAGGGACTCAATCATGTTTTCATAAGCCACATAATTACTTGAACATACTAGTTGCTCAAGAGATGCTAATAGAAGGAGTGAATAAGTAATTATATATTGTCTTGAGAGAACAATTTTTCCCAAATGATTTCATGAAGTTTTCATTTCAGCTATTGGCTATGACATAACTTAATGATCCAAAGTCTTTGGCCTGTTCAGTGTGACTTCATGGAGCAACTAATGTTATGTCTGTGGGCATCAGTTTATCACCTGTGGAAAGTGAAGATGCTGACATGAACAACTCCCAAATATCATAAGCTGATCTTTGTGCCTTCTTATCATGCAACTCAATCCAAGCTCTCTGATTCTATATGCTTTTACTCCCACCTGGAATCTCTCATGTGCATTAACAGACGCACACAATCATGTGAAATTAATGTGTCTAATTTCCCTAGAATTTCCTCTCTCTTTTGAAGCAGAAATTAGGTGGAAGCAAGTGTGTGTGTGTGTGTGTGTGTGTGTAAGTAGAAATGGAAAAAACATTTGTAAAAATAGACATTCTTTATCTGTATGTGGACTGATTTCTTCTTCTTTAACCAGAGAAAAGGAAATTTAGTTTATAGAACCAGAAATGGATGATTTGCAGAGCTCAGGAGAATTCTCCTACTGCTTGCAAATTAGGACGTTGGGAGAGGGAGACTCAAAGCATCTTAGAGAAGAGAATAGAAGGGAAGCTATACACAATTTGGGGGAGGATATTCTTAAATACCACAGTCTTTATTCCAAGAAAATGACTTTTATCAGCCTAACCTAAATAATGTTAGTAAGTAGAAGCAAGTGCCATGACTTGACTTAACATGTTTGTGTGGAAACTGTAATTATATATGAAGTTTAATATTTTTCACTGATGGTTATTCTTTACCCATATAGCCCATGGTGATGTTTTACAGCACCACCCTCCTTCCCACATTATGGTGGAGAGGGATGGATCCCTGGCAGGCAACACAAGGATGTTTACCCTACAGTGTGTGGGTGCCAAGCCTCTTGTGCTGCAGAGTTCCAACTGTTCACTATCAATTTTGATCTTGGCTTAAAGAAGGACCACCCTCTGTCTGCTACTTGCAGACAAAAATGAACCGCTTACCACTGCTGCACGTCATCAGCCAGCAGATGCTAACACTCTCTGTAACAGGATAACAGGAATGCATCATAAAAATAATTTAATGTACTAACTAGCTTTGGAAAATAGCTGATTATTTGATTTTCTATATTGTGATTTATTAAAGAAACAAGCAAACAAGACAATTCTCCTTTCCAGAGGGAAGTAAAATGGATACAGTTACCACATTGAGTATCTGTTATACTTAAAAAAATCAAACCTGAAAGAATATTAATGGTCATGATTACATACAGTTGGACATAAATCTTAGGTATTGAGGGCTTCTTGAATGCTAAAATATGTGGTATGACATCCCTCTTTTGGAGGAAGCTGGGCACTAAGAAATGTGCTATGTTTTTGGCAGGAAGTCACTGGCTCCATCACTGAGTGGTTCTTTGGTCCCAGCTGCAGGTTGATTGATGGCATCACATCGAAGAACACTCTGGGGGGAGCTGTTTATCCCCATCTTCCATCTGGAGCTGCTGGGATAGAGTTCACTGTGATGATGGCTACTGAATGAGCTGCACTGGCAGGACCTCTGTGACAAGGAAGGATTGCGGCTAGGGAGCCAGGCCCGAATCAAAGGATGTCAAGGAAATGAATGGAGCTAAGCAGGAAACAGCCAACTCTTCTCAAACATGATGGGGCAGCAATTCAAAAAGAAAGATGGTGCACAGCTTTTAAAACTACAAAATGGGAGAATATTATGTTCCTTTGTTCTTTCACTTACAGAGGTTACTTTATAGATATGTGTTTCAGATCAAATAAACATGCTGCTAACAACTGAAATATAATGACTCTGTTGACTGCTATGTACCGTTTAAAATATGTTTAATCACATTAGATTATAAGCCTCTTTTAGGGAAGGTATCCAATATTTATCTGGGCACATCAATAACCAGTACAAGAGAAGCATTCTTGATCCACAGGTCCTCTAGGAATCTGCAGTTACTATGTGTTTAGAAAATGGCAGAACAGAAAAGTCGCGCACACACGTGCAGACACACACACACACACACACACACACACACACACACACACACTCCCTTTTAATGGGGGACAGTATAGAAAAGTCCATAAACATAACACAGAAAAGCACCTGCAAAGAATGGACAAATGTAAGCATGCATCCCACCAACCACAGACATAGCTGGAATAAGTGCCAAGTACTGCAGGGGTAGGAGGCTTCATGAGAAGTGAGGGCATGTCTGGGATCACAGCCAGTGACAGAGTGTCTAGAAAACCTCTGTGGAAGAGAGTTGTAGGCAGATCTTGAAGGGAGACATGTAATTTTCTGGGATTTTTTGTTTGTTTGTTTGTTTTTTGTTTTTACTCTGCTGCTTATGGTGATGAATTACCACTTTGGCAGTGTAGTTTTGTGCAATGTTATTGTAAAGCTTTTATTATTTATAATAAAATCCATTTCAAAAACTACACTAATAGTTATACAGCATGAGATGCAAAATATCCCAGAGATAAAAATGGAAGAGTTCTCTAAGAAGGGTGACTATTCAGGCTAGTTTCTGAGTTGGGTTAGAACTGGGGCCATTCTGGCTGGTGGGTTAAAATTTGTGAGCATTATTTGTAATTTGACAGAAAGGATAACTGCAGTGATGAGATAAAAGGATCATTGAGGAAGGTGAAGTTAGCTGTTTTATTGCTTCAGGAGGTTTGACGGAGGGAAAAGTGAAATAGAGAGAACACACATGAGGCATCTGCACACCTTGTTTCTAACATAAGCAAGGAAAAGACCAACCTGAGAGAATATATTTATTAGTCAACATAATTCTGTCATGAACGTCTTGTTCATTTTGCTGTATGGAGTTCACAGATTGATTCTGTGACTCTCACTTTTCTGGTTATGGGTAGGTATTATTACTACACTACCCTGTTTTTACACACAGTTAATATAATGTTTTTATTTTTGGCAATAAAATCTATTTATTAAACTACGCTGACTAGATTAAAAAGGTGCTTTTTGGAATCAGAATTGCATTGTGTATTCTTTTGCTTTATAGACAATATTTATTTAAGGTCTGAGCTGACAGACACTGAGATTCTTATTAACTGAGGCAAACACCAAAGGCTTGGAATGATTAACACTTGGAATCAGGAGAAAGCACTAACTAGGCACCTAATTTGTGCCCACTGCTTTATATTTGCTTTTTCTTTAATGTCCCCACAACAATAGGGATTAAAATGATATAAGGATATAGGGACTAAAATAGATTAAACAACTTGCTCAAAGTTATGTAGTTAATGAAAGAATGAACAGGGATTTGAACTCAGCTCTAAGCGGGATCCCACTGTCTTAGTTCATTTAGCATTGCTATACAGAAATATCTGAGGCTGAGTAATTTATAAAGACAAGTGGTTTATGTGGCTCACAGTTCTGCAGGCTATACATGAAGCATGGTGCTGACATCTGTTCAGCTTCTGGTGAGGACCTCAGGCGGCTTCTGCTCATGGGGGAAAGCAAAGTGTGTGTGAAGATCACACGGCAAAAGAGGAAGCGAGAGAGAAGTGAGGTGCCAGGCTTTTTTTTCACCAACTAGCTCTTGCAGCAACTAATAGAGTGAAAGTCACTCTTGTGCCACACCCAGGGAGGACATTAATCTATTAATGAAGGATCTGCCTCCATGACCCAAACACCACCCACTAGGCCCCACCTCCAACATTAGGGATCCAATTTCAGCATGAGATTTTGAAGGGACACACACCCAAACAGTATCACCCATCCTTTTTTCATTACTCAGTTTTGCTTAGATTTTCATGGAGCTGATTATCTAGATGTCAAGTTGCTCAATTTTTTGACGTCCTATCAGCTTTGTGTTAGCAACCCATCCCAGGGAAAATAAAAAAAACGTGAAGCATAAAATTTATCAATCTTTTTACTTAGTATAGCTCTTATAAAAAGTTTTGCTGAAGAAGAAATTGAATCAAATGCCAAAAATTAGAAGCCTCATTAATAACTATGATTTTAATTTTTAAAATTCTCCCTCTGATGTAGAGCATTGGGACTCAAAAGCAGGTGTCATTGTGTAAAACCTGTGCATCAAAAGTCAACATATTAAGGGAATGGCATTTTAAAAATTCTGTCTTATGCTATTGTAAACTGTGATTGGCACAGTTTTATAAACCACATATATTAATTTATTAAATATTCTAAAGTATTTAGTTCACATTACAATGTTTTTTTAAAAAGAAATTTTCTTTATTAAATGAGCTGCTGTCCCAGTTAACAATTAACTTCTGGAAAATATTTTAAAATATCATTTTAAGTCGAGAAGACCACTGCCATTAATGGATAAGTTTAATTTGGGGTCTATGTAGTCTTTTGGGGGTCAGGTATTTTGGGCTGAATTTCACACCTCAAAATACATGTTCATGTTCTCAGCCTTGGCACCTGCTCATGCCTTTATTTGGAAATAGGGTTTTTACACATGTAATCAAATTAAGATGAGGCCACACTGGATTAGGGTGGGCCTTAATCTAATGACTGATGTTCTTATCAGGAAAGGGAAATTTGGACAAAGACACACTTAGAGGAGAATGCCATATGAAGATGATGACAGAAATTAGATGATGGGTCTCCAGGCCAAGGGATGTCAAGAATTGCCAGCAACCACCAGAAGCTATAAGAGAAGCATGGAACAGATTCTCCCTGAAAGCTTCAAGTAGAACCCAATCCTGTTGACATCATGATTTAAGACTTCTAGCCCTAGAAGTGTGAGAGAATACATTTCTGTTATTTCATGCCACCCAGCATGTGGTACTTTGTTCTGGCAGCCCTAGGAAACAAATACCAATACAAAAAATAATCAACCACAGAAAGTACATCTTTCTCTTCTAGTGGGAATTTCTTTTCTTCCAGGTTACACGTTTTCCCTGTGGATACTGATAGACTCCTAAAAGACAACAACTGAACAATATATGTATATTCCTTAAAAAAATTTTTTTGAAGGCAAACATTTTCAAGTATAAAGTCACATCAAATTTCATGGTTCTGAGTCTAACTGGAATACATTTTTATTTAGTAATGGCAAAGAAAGATTTCTGGTTCAAGATCAAAGGATTTGAACAATTCCTATAGATTCTTGGGCTTCCAATGACATCTTCACAATAATATGCAGCAGATGTGCTGCTGTTATGAACCAATGTGTCATCATCCTATCTCCGAGAAAAAAAAAAAACAAAAAAAACACAGGACTGTGTTTGGGAAAGGGGGGATGGGCAAGGACTAGCAAGGAGACACACTCATTTTGAAAAGTTTCTGGGTGCCTGCACTAAACTAGCTTCACTCTCATTTTGTCACTAATAACTGGGAGAAAAACCCTTTCACTTTAATATTTGTTAAAGAAAAAACTACTAGATAAAACTCAAGATACCTATTAAAAAGGAGAAACTCATCAAACATTAAAAAAAATACCAATTGGGTACTATACACTTGGTGCTTTTGCATAAGTAAGTGATCTTGTAAATCCTTTAGTACACTCTGAGGTAAAACAATCACGGATTATTTCCCCTATATTTTTCAGCCAAGGAAACAGCATCAAGGATGATTTTTTTTTACTCCATCAACGCCACACAACTTGTCATTTGCAGAGTTATGATCCAAACCTCTAAATCAAGTCTTCTGACTCAAGAGGAATAACCAGTTGCCTCTCATGCTAAACTGCACTGCACTAACAGTGGGCAGAACTTCTGCCCACTAATCTGGAATATGAAATATATTATGAAACACATCCAGGTTAAAATAAAACTCAGTAAAAGGGATGCAAAAATTGTTTCCTTCTTGGGAACGAGAAAATTGATATTGAAGAGTCAAATCCGGTTTTGGTAATTCAGACATCTATTTGTATTAAGTTGACCAATTTACAAAAAAATAGTTTTGAAATCCTGAACCTATATTCACTAAGAAAAGTAGAAATGACGACAGACATTTAAAATGAACAGACATGCAGTGGGTTTTGATATTAATCTGCAGTTTTTACTTGGGAAGGGGCTGCCGATAATGCTTCATTCATGCTGATAGCTTTGTAGCTGGTCCTGTGGGATCCTGCACAGTGTGCCCCAGAGAAATCTCGTTCTGAGAGTGTGGTCTGCGCTGCTCCAGAACGCTTTGCTAAATATCTGCGTTAAGTTTTTCAATGGCCCAAACTATAGACAATTAAGTTCTGGGTCTTAACCCATTGACTCCCACAATGATGGCATAATATTGGACTTGCTCATGGATCATGTCGCAAATTGTGTAGGAACATGTTCACAAATGGCCTTCAATCCGCTATCTGAGATAGAACTATTTATAGACCCTTATTTCTTTTTAGCTTGTTGGTGTATTCTCTAATCTACCGACCAAAGAAAACTCATCTGGAATTTTTGCTGTAGCAAAGATGTATTGACAAAGGAAAGATATCTTCCTTTTATTCTTTCTCTTTCTTATGCAGCCTTTTTGATTTAGCGGTGTTTATAACAAACTTTTCCTTGCTTTTACTTTAAATGTGTCTCTGCAGGAGGGATACTTCTGGTCATGGCAGTCAAGTTGTATTGTCAAAACCATCTCTGGGGACTCTGAGTGGGTCGTTACAGCTGAGGAGGAGTCTTCTTTTGCCATTCTGAGGTCAGTTTGCTTTTGTATATTTTTTATGATTCTAAGTTCATCTTAGATACTCAATTTCTGCTTTTTAATTCAGTCTTCATTGAGAACATATTAACCATTAAGTTATGTTTTTCTTATGAAATGTGCAAATTCTCAAAATGCCATATATTATAATTGAGGATAAAGTGGAAACTAAGAGCAATTTTTTCCTCCTCAAAATTACAGCATGGAGACTACCCACTAGAGGGTGTCATTGAGCTATTATGGTATGAAATGACCTGCTCCCACAGAGGGTTTGTTTCCTGGCAATTTTGCATCTTGAGTGGATAATGTGGATTGTCTAGTGGGTAAGGGAGAAAGCAGTGATGCTTCACAGATTCCTAAGGTTCTATGTGTCCAAATGGATAAAAAGAAAGAAAGAATATGTATGTATATAAATTTGATAAACACAACATAAATCGTTGCTCACAAACAGGCACACATAAGTACACCTTAAAACAAAACTCCACAATGACCTAAAGATTACTGCCTTTAGCAGAAATATTATTTTTTTCCAGCATTCAATAAAGTGAAGACCTATAGTGCTGCTTTTGGTCACACAGATTAGTGTGTTTTTTTAACCGGAAGATTCATGGGACAAAACATTTCCCTTAGCTTTACTGGGTTTTACTTGCCATTACCCCTGAATATGAGATTGGGCTAAACATTCCAATCTAGATGAACCACAGTGTAAAATCAGATCAACACCCACAGGACTCCAAGATACCTACAAGCATTACCATTTGCTCTTTAAATGTTCACATTTAAGATGCTGGTTTGTTATTCTTTTGATCTTTGGGGGTTGTTAACTTTATAATATTTCAGCGTGTCAATACAATTTTGTAGTTGCTAGCCTGAGCCCTTTTAAATATTTTAGCATGCATCTTTTCATTAGGTTTTCAAATAAAATCAAATCAGTGGTGTCCTTCTTAATGTTGAAAGACTGTCATTAAAAAATAATCCAAGTTCTTTTACCTTTGTTTATAAAGGTTATTTTCAAATTCTTTATCAATTAAATTTTCTAATGTTCCATTTCCGTATTGTCCATTTCTTGGCTTGAGCTGTCATAGCAAATTAATTAATGGCACAGTCTTTCTGATTGGTTATTGTACATTTTATTTAAGAAACTCAGAAGTATTTAATTGGCCTGGAATGTGGCCATTTGAATCAAGCTGTTCAGGTGCATGCCTTTGCTTGTTCCTACTTTCACCATGAAGAGACATCTATTAAATACCAAGTTTGACCTTAGAGAAAATAGTGAAATTGATGTCCCTCAATTATCCCTTCAGTTAGTTTCAAGTGTTTAGAATTTTCCTATCTTCCCTGGCTTTCAAGGAACTCTCTTTTATAATTCCTTTCTCTTAAATCCTCTTAACTATTACCACTCACAGGTTAGTAATAGTTTTAATTAACTTCTTATTGAAGATTACTTAAAATAATGTTCTCTCTTGTCTATGGCTTTAGTTACCATATATATTCTGATTAGTCTTATATATACCAATTCAATATACCAGTTCAGTGATTCTCAAATATTTTTTTCTTAGTAACTCTTTACACTTCTAAAAACTATTGAGAACACATCAAGAGTTTTTAATTATGTGGTCATATCTATTGATACTTATTGCATTAAATATAGAAAGGTTCTAGAACATTTACTAATTAATTTAAAAGATCCACTACTTATCCATTAAAGTAATAGATCCATTACTTACCAATGTAAAAGTACTAATATTACCTACTAACATAAGTAATATGTTTTTAATGAAAAATAACTATGTTCCCAAACTAAAAAAATTAGTGACAAAAATGACACTGTTTTGCATTTTTGCAACTCTCTTATGCCTGGCTTTATAGAAGACAGGTAGATTCTCATCTGCCTCTGCATTCAATCTGTTGTGATATTCTGTTTTGGTTGAAGTATATAAAGACAATTTGGCCTCACACAGATATATAGTTGGTAAGAGAGGTGTATTAGTCTTTTCATGTGACTATGAATATTCTTCTTTGATACTATACCAAATATCAATGAGGTAGTTTCAAAAAAAGCAATTGCAAGGTAGAATCCAAAACTGTAGTAAATAACTTCTCATACTTTATTGCATTAAAATCCACTGGTCTACCTTGCACTTTGAATGGATCTTTTACCCAGGCATGATATTACAACATCGCGTATTTGTTATTTGGAAAAATATTGATTTCTTGGGTTACACATTTTCCAAATGTTGATAGTTTTTATTATACAACATCAAAACAAACCAACCAATCACATTTGAAACATCATCGCCTATCTTCTCAGGAAAGCCTTAAAGTGTTTGAAAGCTGCCAGGCTCCCAGTAGTAGATGCTACTGCCTATACGTGTGCTAAGGCACCAGTAGTATTATCCACCATTGTTTTCACATCGTCAGTGCAAATACCAACAGAACAAAAAAAGGCAAATATGTTCACGTCTTAGTGATGTTATTTAAATAGTTTTGACCTCATGAGTTTCTCAAAAGGGTATCAGGGAATACTCCCGGTCTGTGCACCACACTTTAAAAAGTCCTGTACTAATTAAAAACCTTTCTTGAACCCTAGATCAATATATTCAGTGGTCTACTAGGTGTGCTATAGGCACTGTCAACTCAAGAATCTTGACTGGATAATAGTCACATTTCTTTCCTTCCTCCAAGCTGCTTCTCTTTCGTATTTCATCTCAGACACCTTCATTTTCTAAGCCACTCAAGTCAGAAACCTGTGAGTCACTCCTGAGTTTTATTTACCCTTGACCTCTTTTGACTAATTACTAAGTTCAATCTCTTAAATATACTTCTTCCTGCCCAGCTTTGTCAAGATTGAGTTCAAGTTCAGTATCTCCGACAACTGCCTGTAACTAGTCTTCCCCATCACTCCCTTGCCCAAATCTCCCTCTTTTATTCACAATGCACATGCCTTCTAGATTTAGTTTATAAAGAACAATTCTAGATAATGCAAAAGTAGAATTAGAGCCTCTATGACATACAGCCCTGGCCTCATTTCCTTCCTCTGTCACTTCTCCAGCTGAGTGACCTTGGCAAGTCGCTCAGGCTGTCTGTGCTAGAGTATCTTCATTGTAAAATAATTTTTAATTAAAAAATATTTACTGCATTTGGCTGTAAATATAGACGGATCACGCAGCCTGGCATTTAGCAAGTTCTTAATATATGTTTATCATTGTTTTTGGTCAATTATCTCCCTGCAAACCCTCACCATTTTATTATAAGCATTAGCTGATGTGTTAGAATTATTGTCTTTAACTTATTCTTCATTTTATTCTCAGGGCATATCAGAATATCTGAAACATAGTTAATACTTAATGAAACATAGTTGAATACAGAAAAGATATGGATTATCTATAAATGCAGACTTTCTTAGTTTTATTACTGTTCACATTTCTAAGTCATGTGTCTTAATTCTTGAAGATTCTACTAATTATCAGGCAAAAATATACCATAATAGTTTAACATATATTGCCCTAAAAGAATTAGTTTGTGAACATGTTGCCCTCAGTTGGCAACATATCTAAGACCATTAGAAAAAAACACGTTTCTTCTGATGTCCTAAAAGAGCAGCAGTTTTAACTTACCTGTGGGTAAAATTGATGAACAGTGAGGAAATTCCCCAAAATTCCTAAAAGTATTCACAGTATTCTGTGAATGTCACCTATGCATTTTTTTGGTGGTGGGGTTATGGAGAGGATCTATGTCTTTTATCAGATTCTCAAAAGAGGTCTGTGACCCAGACAAGCAACAACCACCGTTATAGAAGATGTCAGGGAATATAGGACCAGGTTCCAGATTGCCTAGGGAACATAGTACTATAATACCAGATTGTCAGGTTCCATGACAGATTCAGTCAGATGTATTTTCCAGTGGGGAAGATTTTTAGAACATGCCAAATCACACAATAAAGGCAATTGTCCCAGACTTAGGATTGAACTTTCAAAATAAATTATCTGAAGTCCATGACCTTAAACCCAAGTACCTGACCCCTGCACAAGAGCCAATAAATAACATCATTAACTCACAGTGCCGACTATATTCATGTTTCTTCCATGTCCCTTTGGGCTTGTCGCCCGCTCTGCTGTGGCTTACACAGAGCCTGTGATGATCACAGCCCTGGGTTTAGTTTCTTTGGTGTAAATCTCCTGAATTTTTCTTTCATTTTTTACATGTTCTCAATGTGGTGTCTTTTATTTTTTATTTTTAGAATAGAAATCCAAATAGCTCTAAAAACAGAACATCGTGGCTTCTCTTTTTTAAAAAGCCCGAGCAGAGAAAAAAGCCATTCTTTGACCTTATGACATCTTTTGAAAACATGTTTGTTACTAGAATTTTTTATCATGCTCCCTTTGAACTTTAAATTGACTATATGGAGATTTTAACTAAAACTCAGTAAAATATTGGAAGATTCACTTGGATGAAGTATAGTGTCTAAATATAAGATCATAGCCAGACAGTACAGGAATAGGTAAAGGAACAGGTAAAGAAAGGAAGTGAGGGGAATGCCAGAACTATCCAGAATAGAAGTTTTAACTGGCTTTTTTTGATCTGAAATTCCGCATGTTATTTTTGTAAGTACGAGACAATGTTAGGGTCTGGGATTCAGTCCCCTCTTTATAGGCCACCATACATCCCCAACTGTCCAGGAAAATCTCATTTTACACCCATTGCCCAAGAATCTTACTAGTTCCTCTTTCACTCTCAGAAGTATCTCAGTTTGGGCAACAAATTATATGGACCTGCTCTTTGCCACTAACAATGTTATACGTGAGTCCATTAATGCCTCTGGAATTAGGTAAATATACAGTACTGATTAAAATCAAAGAAGCAAAGTGAGCTATTCAGATGGCCAGGCATTATGCTCTTTTTATAGAAGGATAAACTCATAGCCTATGGGAAAAGGCCACATATTGTGTTGCTGGAAAGATTCAATATTATATCTGCAACATGAAGCATGCCTGTGTAGAATAATCTGACCTCATCATTCAGTGTATTCTTGGTGGACAGCCCGTAGCTCAGTGGTCTGTGCAAAGGATAATGATCAAGATCTTATCAGTAGAAAATGGAGAAATGCCTCAAAGGATACTACGGTCATTTTTTCACCCTGTGATTTTTTTTTATTACTCCATGTGTGCAAGTTTGCCTAATTAACCCACAAGGGCTGAACCTGTGATAAGTGAGTGGGACCACAGATGACACCTGATGCTTGGGGCCATCTGATTGATAAGAAATGTGTTTTAATCTGAATTCCTGACTGATCATTTTTTCCATTTTTAGCTTTCACAATAAAAAGTAGAACTCTCTTTTTAAATTTATCAAAATGGAAGTACAGCCAAACACTTTAAAGATAATATGTCTTTGAATAATGCTGTGAAAGAAGTTAATGAAAACAGCAGTCTTTGTCTAGTTTGATACCTTCTCTCCAACCCTTACTGGTCCTTAATGAATTCTGGTCCTCTCCCTCTTCTCCATTTATGGTTTCAAAGAGACACATGTTGGGCTTTTCTCTCTCTCAATTGCTTACTTATTAAAATCTTCTGGTGTATGTGTGACCTATATTTGTGAATGTCCTTAGATCATGTCTCACTGTGATGACACTCATCCTTCAGCCACATGAGTCAGGCATATGGGTGAGTAAGAAGGTTGTGGTTACTGCTTTGCTGGAAACACTTTCTTAGACTCACTTTATTTTTTTGCCATGAAACTAGAAACAAAATTGATACTTCATTTCAAAGAAACTCTACCTACCTCTCAGAATTTTCACTGCAAGTTTTCTTTCTTTCTTCCTTTTTTGAAGAGAGAAATATCTTCCCACTCTTTGTTTTCTTTTTTTAACTTCACTGTCACTGGAGTTCACATACATTGAAATTTAAGTTCTTTGCAATAATCTTAGTCACTGACTGTTTTCAGAAACAAACTACTTTTTGACACAGAGCTTCTGGTTATAGGAACAAGATTTTTAAAATAAATAACTTTAAAAATTGCTTGACTTAAATGTGTTTTAAGCAGATTTCATACTGTTTTCATGATAGATACTTTGTTTTCTTGAGTTATTCTGTCCATACTTCACAGTCTATGAATAGCTAGAATATATTTCTTTCCTTTCTTCTGCTTTTGTTCCACTTATTCATCTTAGTCCGTAATGGCTATAAAACCTGTGATTTAGCATTTTTCACGTATCCAAAAGTGTTTCAGGAATAGAAGGAGTAGAAGAAAAGAATAAATAAACGTGGGAAATATGGAGTGATACTAATTAACATGTGTTGCTTTAATGAAGGGCTGGCTAATGCACACTGAGAAACTCTAAGAAGTGGGGATTATTGCACAGTATTCCCTAGTATATTTGCTCGTGGGAATAGTATCCACTGGACATTTCTTTGGCTTTAAATATTTCATGGGAGCAGTGGCCCATGGAAGAGATTTAAGGAAGTGCTATTCTTGTCCTATTGAATGAAGACAGGTGTGGTTGCACATGTATGAATACCTCTGCAAGTATCAACATGCGGCAATGTGTGTCCATGAATGTGTATGTCTATCTGCGATTAAGGCCTGGCTGCGGGAGGCACTATTCTATCAACACTCTATCTGTATGTATGGATTGATGCCTGCATGGGGGATGTGCTGTGTCCGGAATTCGTGGGTCGGTCTCACTGACTTCAAGAATGAAGCCGCAGACCCTCGCGGTGAGTGTTACAGTTCTTAAAGGCGGCGTGTCCAGTCCAGAGTTTGTTCCTTCTGATGCTCCAATGTGTTTGGAGTTTCTTCCTTCTGGTGGGTTCGTGGTCTCGCTGGCTCAGGAGTGAAGCTGCAGAGCTTCACGGTGAGTGTTACAGCTGTTAAGGCAGCGCGTCTGGAGTTGTTTGTTCCTCCCGGTGGGTTCGTGGTCTCGCTGGTTTCAGGAGTGAAGCTGCAGACCTTCCCAGTGCGTGTTACAGCTCATAAAGGCAGTGTGGACCCAAAGAGTGAGCAGCAGCAAGATTTATTGCAAAGAGCGAAAGAACAAAGCTTGCACAGTATGGAAGGGGATGGACCGGGTTGCCACTGCTGGCTGGGGCAGCCTGCTTTTATTCTCTTATCTGGCCCCACCCACATCCTGCTGATTGGTCCATTTTACCGAGAACCCAGTGGTCTGTTTTGACAGGGCGCTGATTGGTGCATTTACAATCCCTGAGCTAGACAGAAAAGTTCTCCACGTCCCCACTAGATTAGCTAGATACAGAGTGTGGACACAAAGGTTCTCCAAGTCCCCACCAGAGCAGCTAGATACAGTGTCCATTGGTGCATTCACAAACCCTGAGCTAGACGCAGGGTGCTGATTGGTGTGTTTACAAACCTTGAGCTAGATACAGAGTGCAGATTGGTGTATTGACAATCCCCTAGCTAGACATAAAGATTCTCCAAGTCCCCACCAGAGTCAGGAACCCAGCTGGCTTCACTCAGTGGATCCTGCACTGGGGCCGCAGGTGGAGCTGCCTGCCAGTCCTGCGCTGTGCGCCTGGACTCCTCAGCCGTTGGGTGGTCAATGGGACTGGGAGCAGGGGGCGGCGCTCGAAGGGGAGGCTTGGGCCGCACAGGAGCCCATGGAGGGGGAGGCTCAGGCATGGTGGGCTGCAGGTCCCGAGCCCTGCCCCGCGGGAAGGCAGCTAAGGCCCGGCGAGAAATTGAGCACAGCAGCTGCTGACCCAGGTGCTAAACCCCTCACTGCCCGGGCGGCGGGGCCTGCACCCGCTGGGAGTGCGGGCCGGCCAAGCCCACGCCCACCCGGAACTCCAGCTGGCCCGCAAGCGCTGCGCGCAGCCCCGGTTCCCACTCGCGCCTCTCCCTCCACACCTCTCTGCAAGCTGAGGGAGCCAGCTCCGGCCTTGGCCACCCCAGAAAGGGGCTCCCACAGTGCAGCGGTGGGCTGAAGGTCTCCTCAGGTGCCGCCAAAGTGGGAGCCCAGGCAGAGGAGGCGCCGAGAGCAAGCGACGGCTACGAGGACGGCCAGCACGCTGTCACCTCTCAGTGCCACTCCATGGATGAGTGTGCAGGTAGGTGTATATGAATATACTTTATGTCAGTAGTTCCTGTGTAAGACAAGGTGAGAATCAGTTTTCAGCATGATTGGTTTCAGGCTAGCACAAGATGGTGATTGGCTTTAAGCCAAGATTACTGTTTCCTTACCAAATTACATACACAGATCTGCTGGTATAAAGAACTTACATTTTAAAAATTGTGAGAAAGTTAACTGTGAGCTTAAAGTAAAAATTGGAGCTGCTGATGAACGAACCATGAGTAATTGAGGTGCCAGGGGCTCCAGTATCATGGGTAATTGTAGGTTCATTGCTTAATGTATGTGAAATTTGTGTGGAGTAGGACAGAATTATTTCTGTTTGTGTATTCTCTTTTGCTTGTATTGGGCAATGACACACCAATTATCATCGTTCAAATCACTTAGTGCTCCAATTACCATTTACTCCAAAGTGTGTGCTTTTGATTTCAGCACCTAAGATCAGAGAGGATAACTCGGAAAATTATGTTTGGCTAATGGCTAAGAGCTCCCCTACTCTCTTTTGATAACGATGCCGCCCTCATGGTATGCTTTTGTCCATGAATAAAAATACAGAATTTCTTCTAAGAGGGAAGCAAGGAAGTTATTTGATATAAGGGCTTCCAATGCCTTATCCCTGGTGAAATCTCAGTGTCCGCCTGTATTTATAACTCCTTCGGGTCTGTGACAGATTATATAATCACAACTGACTCTCAAGAGGACTGCTTCTTAGATTATCACCATTTTAAAAGCAGATCCGTGTCACAAAGGAAGCAGAGTTAAAGTGATCTGAGTGGAAGCTGACAGGTTGTGAAGGTGAATTAGCCACTCTGGTGTCAGTGGGTGCAAATCACTGCAGGGGGCGGTGACCGTTGGCAGGAAAGGTCTCTTCTGGGTTAGCTCCTGGGCCAATTAGATATTAATGGCGGCAGAGAACTATTCTTTTGGTGGCCTAAGAGTCCCGCTGAGGAGTGTCAGTAGAACTGCAAAGATGAGCATTTTGTCATGATATGGAAACAATAGTTACTTTATAAGCTTCTCCTTATACAGTACACTACAAAAGCACACATAAGCTAGCCCATTAGTGAAAGTTTTAGTTTCCTAAAGACTTTTGCCTTCATTAAATACAAAATGTTTCAGCTTTTTGTTGTATCTTTATATGTTTTCCTTCTTTTACCATTAGTCTATCCTGTAACATGCAATTCAGATATGCCGGTGAAAGAATGGCTTTATGGTAAGATTCTGGTTTTGAACTATATTTGTCCACTGAGCCACTCAGAAAATTGAAAATGCCTTCTAGAAAATGAAGTGTGCTCAAATCATAAAGAAATAATGTAAATGTGATTAAAATATACCTAATCCGCATAAAAATCATACATTATAAAGGGAAGATCAATTATTTTATTTTAGTAAATTAATGTCTTATGGTATTATCCAAATAAAATAATAATTATGATAGCATAAACAAATTCCACCACAAAATACTATATTTAAATTAAAACTTGTGATGTTTGCCATTCAGTAACATCAGTTAGAAATCCTTGGAAGTTTGTTTGCAGGGACAGCAAGGGAGCAAATATTTTAATCTCTGATTTCTATTGAATATCTTTTACTTTTGCATCATCTTGGCACTAAGTGTCCAACAAAAGGAATATGACAAGCACATTAATCTGACAAGGAGTAAGTAGATCAATGTATAGAACTGAGATTATTTTGCATGTTAAATGGAACCATAAAGAGGATGATGCTTAGGCCAGAGGAATGAATCAACACAAACACTATTGGGTAAATATATTCAATCTTTTTAGTAAGCTTGGGATATATTGTTTAAAAGGCATCTCTAAATCTTTGAAATTAACTATCCATCAATATAGGCACTCTCTTCTAATACAACTCAATTGTAGTAGTCCCAGGAAAACTCAAGTTATTAAAAACTGCATTATAAAAAATAATTATTTCAATGAGAAAAAGAGGAAAAAGGCTAAGTTCTATAATGTGATAATATGAAGGTATTGTTTTCTGTTAGAAATGTCAATAAATTTCTAAAGCGTCTTTAAATAGTTGTAAGTGCAAAGCTTTGAGACTTAAACATCAAGGAGCAAATCCAGCTTTTGATCACATCAATTTCTGCTCAAGAGTTATAGGTAACTGCTATTCATTTTTAGTACTTGTATCACTCATTGTTGGGAGAAACAAAACATGTCACCTTAAATTCAGCAGCCCCATTGCAGCAGAACAATTTTTTAACTAGCCCCATTCTTAGTGGAATTGCATTCTAATATGTTGTGGTTAGCGTAATGCAAAACGTCCCTAATTAATATCTTCTGCTATAGTCAGTTCTTGTTAAGAAAATTTAAGCTGACAGAGACATTATTAATTTTTTTTTGAGGGAGAAGCGTTCATGATAGACAACATGTGGTAAGTCAGATCATTCCAGAAGGTACATCAGGACTTGGCAAAGACCATCAAAGAAATTCCCAGTTTAGGCTCAGAAAACTGAAAATTTATGTGTTCTGGAAGTGGGGTCGCGATTTGTGTAAATTATACGATTATATTTCCTTTCACCTAGAAGCAGGAAAGAGAACAACAAACCTCCTTTTGCGTCTTCTAGCAAATGTTCTCATTGTGTCTTGTGCACTCATCTTACTCATTTCTGCTCTGGTTTGGTCTTTACCTTTGAGGGGAGGGCATGTGAACATGTCTACAGCTTGGTAAGAGGCATCCACAGACCATGAAGAGAAACATGAAAGCAAATACAGGATAACTAAGACATTGAGAAGTGAAATAGAGAAGAATAGGTCTGGAAAGAGAGAAAACAAAAACAAAACACAACCAAGTTGTCATTTCCTTTACATATTGTGGTGAAGAAACTGGGGAACTCTTGTGTTCAATTCGTTACTTGCTATGTATCAGTAACTATTCCTTTTTTTGTATGTTTGACAATTTTATCCTGATCTTTCTGACTTATTTGTTGCTGGAGGCTGCCCAACTCACTCTGTGCTGGTCAGCACACAGCCTGCTGCTGCTGTCACTTGCTTGTCATCTTCATACACAGTGCCATGAGCATTCACATCTTGTCAGTCATGTCATTACTCTGTACCTGTCAGCATTAAAGGTGTCACCTTCTTGACAGACACTTTTAGAAATTGGTTAACATTTCACTTCTGCTTTAAACCAAATAAAAGCATCCCTTTGGACCAAGTAGAAAAAAATTAGTTAAGAGGAAACCGGGAAAATGAAGATGGCTGGAAACAAAATTTTGCTATTACATGTTTAGAGTTATTGAAACCAAACTGGATAGATAAAAAGTGACTCCAACATAATGGACCCAAATTAAGTCTCTGAGAAGTATTCAAATACATTTCCATAGAAATTACCATCTTGTGTATCTATATTCTACTCCATACAATCAGGTCATATGTTCCCTTCGAAAGCATTTATATTTTTTATTTATCCAGAAGAAAAAGAATTAAGTATTAACAATGATTGCCTCGGGTTGGTAAAATTATGGGTAATTTTGTTGTTACTTTTATTTTCTTAAGTTTCGAATTTTCTACTCTATAAGCATTAAAAGAATACTGTTCTGTGATTATAGACGTAATCTTTGTAGTCATAGGAAATTTTACTAAGAAATGAAAGTGATATAGCAGCATATATACAGTCCACTGTCAATGTCACATTCTTGTCATCCACACATGCAGTACCATGGGTGTTCATGTCTCCTCAGCAATGTCACTATCACTACTCTATGCTTTTGGCTAGGGTAGAGGGTGGCAGCAGTAAACTGTTTTGTAAATGGCTTGAATCTCTTGAATCTTTTTGTCAAAGATCATGCATTATCCATCTCCATAATATTTGTAGAAGACTATCAGTTTTTCCACCTACATAATTTGCTATTCACTGGACTGTGATGTTCAGGCAATAATTATTTTATCTTTACTTTCAATACCTTCAGCATCTAAGATATATGGAAAAATAGTTAAATTATTGAATGAATGAATTTAACGTGCTTGAATTACTTTGTAATTACAGTATAGGATTTTGGCAGTCTGGTGTACTTTTACAGAAAGAATCTGTATTCTTGAACTAATAGAATTCACAGATTTTATAATATTGCCACAAAATGTAATCACCTCCTGGATATTATATGTTTTTCTTACATATTTATTGTCTGTCTCTTTCTCTTCTACCCTCACTAGAAGTCAACTTCTAAGAAGGCAGAAACATAATCTGTTTATGTGATAATTCTGTAGTTCCTGTGCCTCAAATGACATCTAGCCCAATGTAGGTACTCACTATATATATATATTTATTTTTTTTTGAGACAGAGTCTTGCTCTGTCGCCCAGGCCGGAGTGCAGCGGCGCAATCCCGGCTCACTGCAACCTCCACCTCCCGGGCCCAAGCAATTTTCATGCCTCAGCCTCCTGAGCAGCTGGAGCTACAGGCGCATGCTACCATGCCCAGCTAATTTTTTTTGTATTTTAGTAGAGATAGGGTTTCACCGTGTTGCCCAGTCCGGTCGTGAACTCCTGAGCTCAGGCAATCCGCCTGCCTCAGACTCCCAAAGTGCTGGGATTACAGGCATGAGCCTAAATAATTGTTAGATGAATGAATATAATATCTTTTTATAAATTTATAAATGTAAGGAATGTTTATGTGAAAATAATTAGCAAATACAAATCACCTACAATTATTCAGAGATAATCATTATTAAACATTTATTATATTTTCTCCCAAGATGTTTCTATGCATGCAATACAAAAATGCAATTATATGTATTTTAATGTAAGCTGATTTTCCCCATTTTTGGTGTGAGAAGAACATCATCAGTTGTAATGGCTTCTTAATATTTTTCTTTTTTTTTTTTTTTTTCAAAATTTGTGACATAAGCTTGTACTTTGTGGAAAGAGCAGAGACTTTGGAATCAGCCTAGGTTTGAATTCTGGCTCTTCTGTTTATCACCTGTGTAATCTTGGATATGTCCCCAACACGTTTGTGCTTTTGAAGCAGTGTAGGAGAAGAGATGAGAAAAGAATAGCAAAGAAACCAAGAAGGGAAAGAAGACAGATCCCTAAAAAGGGGGCAGAAGGAACCCGCATGCCACCCGCTGGGTTCTGATGCTACACTCAGCTCTCTCAGTGCAGAATGTCTTCCTCCTTTGAATTGAGCTGCCAAAGGTACCATACCATCACAAGGGAGATGGGAATGTTTTATCCCGTCTCAAAACCTTTTCTGCCCTCAGCTCTCATGGCCAATAATAAACACATCACAGATAAAAATTTAAACACAATAATCTTTTTTGATGGAGTGGTATGTGCAGAGGCTTCGGCATCAATATCTCACTACACGAGCCTCATGCTGAGATGAAGAAATGTTAGTGTCAGCCAAGAGTGATTTACAGTATCCTCCAAAATACCATTTCGTTTTACACCAGTTTGTTTTCTGCCTTAATTATTTAGGTTTTTAAAATACTTCATAAGGTTATTATAAGTTATTTCATTTGTCAAGGGCTTAATCACTTCCTACATATCTTCTCTTTTTCTCCTTTCTTTTATCATTTATGACCCCATATGTGTTTAGAATCTATTTTTCTGGGGCATTTTTAGTAGGTAATTTATTAAGAAACTTGTGCAAACTTCCTAGTAGCCATAGTTGATAGTGGTGACTTTCATGGTGAGTTTTTTTTTTTTTTTAGAAGTTCAACCCTTCACCCTTGCCCAATTCCCAAAATATCATTCACCTACCTTTGCCATTCTGATTTATAGTCCTCTCTGAACTTTCATTCTATGGGAAAAACATTATATTAATCAAATATTTGCCATTACCTACTTGGTGCCAGTATATATTTTAAGGCTAATATGTGCATGATTCATCAGGAAACAGGTTATTAAAGTGGGGCCTCACTGAGGTTCTTTTGTGATTAAGGTGTTAGCTGATGACAGGTTCTCAAAATATTTTGTACAGAGGATTTTAGAGTAAAATCTCACTTGCCAATGTTTCGGAGAGATTGAAAGTTTTTTCCTTGAGAGAACCCTGGCTTTTCCAGGAGAGGCCAGGTGCTTAGGCCCGAAGAGATCACTGTTTTATTTGAGAGAAAAAAGATCCAACTCTCAGACTTTCACAATGGAAACTTTCTCTGTCAGCCTCTTTGTTTTGGTTTTATTCTCAGGAAGGAAAGCTTCTTCCCAAGAGATGGCCAAATGGCAAATGGCCACCAGTAGCTCCTGGTTTATATCCTACCAGCTTGGTGATCTCAGCGGAAAGAAGACTTTTTCTCCAAAAGCTCTGAAAACAGTTTTGAACTTGAGTCCTTTTGGTGCAGCCTGAGTTACATTTCTATGGCATGAGTGGAGTGATACACACACACACACACACACGCGCACATGCACACTCCTTCTCACACACACACACACACACACACACACACACACGCACGCAGAGAGAGAGAGAGAGAGAGAGAGATTTTCCCTGGTCAAAGAGAAGGCTCATGACTCAAACTGGGCCAACCAGTTTCTTTCCTGGGAATTTATATCTTCTGTGGGGACACACAACACAAATGTGCAAAGTGATTGGGGATGATTCATCCTGGATAATGGTAGCCTAAAAATGGCCCTTTTGTTTCTGTGTGCTAAGAGCCAAGGGCTGCTTGGTTACAGCCTTCTGCTATCCTCTGCGCAATTATACTAAGAGAAAACAGAGCATTTTCATATTTAGATACCTGGCAGCCTTCCTTCACAACAAAATAATTTGGAAAAATCCAGCCATCATGCTTGAAGTAAGAGAGAAAAAGAGCTTCCTAAATTTCAGTAGACATGCTGACAGAATTTTTTCAAGCCTGATTGCTTTTAGGACTTCGGACCCAGACAGGATGGCTAGTATTATGTTTCAGGGTTGGATTTAGAACATTTGTATCAAATTCAAACCAATATTTATTTGATTAAAAATTATGTAATTATTAAGAATTGTGAGAAAAAGCTTTATATTGATAAATTTAAAATATTTTCTCTGAAACTGAATTAAACCAATTATGTAAAAATAATGTGATAATGTGATATAGTATAATTCATTGCAATATAATTGTATTTCTGAATCTCTCGTTTCAAACTGACTGATATGGAAGATAAATACCAACTCAGTTTGCTATCGTAATATTAACATACAACCAAACCCATCTGAGAGGTTCACTACAAAAAAGATGATGCATAAGAGAAAAATAGCCCTGAATGGGAGGTTGTTACATTCCCTGTTGCAGAAGAACAGTATGACACAAAATACAAGGTAAAAGTCAAGACAACCAGTTCTCTTGCAAAGGAAAGACCAAATTATTCTATGGCATTTCTAAATTTATTTTTCGGTCTGATTGCTTCTTTCTGGGTTATTAATGAACCATCAAACAGAGCACAGAAATCACTGCATACTCAGGTGTCTTATATTCTATTGTCAGCTAAGGAGGAGGGTTTGATATGCTTTCTCCAATGGCACTGGAAAAGATGAAGCCAATCCCATGACCTTTTTGTAGTCTCTTATGTCTGACACACACAGATCTATTCAAACACTTTTATAAATTACTTCAATAACTTACAGCAAAAGTTACATATATAATATTTATTATTCTGCTTATAAAGCAGGACTTTGTGTTTTATTTTTAGTTTAGTTTAACATTATTTGAGCATCTCCTATGGGCTAGGCATTGTGCTAAAAGCTGGGATGGCAAGATATAGAAGATGTCCCTGTATTTTGGTTCATAGTCTGGCAAGGAAGATAGATGAAGTAGGAGATAAATCTGGTGTAGTGGGATGAGGGTGGTAATGATAGTGGCAAAGTTTTTGAGTGCCTAATGCCACCAAGCTGGTAGGTAATACGGCCAGGAGTCAAACGCAGTGTGACCAATTCTGCAGTCCATTCTCTCAGCTACTGTGATAATCAAGCAGGGAAGGTGCTATGGATATGTATGGGAGAACAGAGGAGTGGCATCTACCCAGCCTGTAGGGTCTGGGAAGACTTTTTTGTTCAGTTCCCCAAACTTAGGATAATTAGGAATTAGCCAAGCACAAGTGAGAGAAAGGCTTTTTAAGGCAGGTGAAAGAGCCTAAGGAGATAAAAAATATATGATGAGTCTGGTGTGAAGCACCAGCAAAAATTTAGTAAATTAGAAACCTAATATGTAATGGCCCTGATTTCTGCAAAAACAAAAAGCAACACCCCCAAACAAACCAAAGCCAAAACTTAAAATTTGTGGGAAACACTGTTATGGGTTAAGAGGAGTATTGATAGTTTTACAGCAAGGGGGTAATGCTTTCAGATGCCTATTTTAGAAGGTGTAGTGAGACAAATGGGTTTGAGGTAAATTTGAGGCAAATAAACCATTTAGAAAATTCCTGCAGTAGTCTAGATAGGAAGTGATGGTATAAAAATGTTGATGAGGGAATGGAAGAAGGAATCAAGAGATATTTCAGAGTTAGAACTGATAAGCTTTATAAAGGTGTCATATGATAGAGTCAGACAGGCTAGGTTTAAAAATTGATTCTGCCACTTGTTAGTAGGTGACCTTGGTCCAGTTGCTTAACCTCTCTGGTTTTCAGTATCTTAATCTGTCAAATGGGGGTAATAACAGAACCTACCTCATTGGGTTGCTGTGAGGATTAAATGCAAATGTGTGGAAAATATTTAGAAGGATGTCTGCCATGTATTATTATTTCTGATTAGATGTGAGTGATAGGCACTCATTGGAGATTTGGTATATGGTGCTACAACCATTTGAGATAGAGAATACAGAAAAAGGAGCTGGCTGGGGAGGAAAATTTATTATTTTAGTATTATATTTATTGGACTTGATGTGCTTGACTTGCGTTCTCAGGTTAAGATGTGTAGTAGGCAGTTGCAGGTATTGGCTGGGAACTCAGAAGTGGCTTGTGAGAAGCAGATGCAGATCTGGGAGTGGTTAGTATTTCTACACAGATGCCACTGGAAGCCATAGATATTGATGAGATTGTCCATAGAGAGCACTGAAGTCAGAAGAAAGGAGAATGAAGAGCAAGACCTAAGAAAATCAGCAATTAAACTGTAGGAAGAAAAGCTGATGGAAGAATGGAGGCAGGGCCAGGAGAGATTGGTGTCTTCGTGTGGAACTAGAGACACCTGATAACCCTTAGATCACCTAAATCTCACTTTTCTTCTAGAGGGAATGAGGGAAAAAAAGCGTAAATCTCTGAGCAGATGTGGCTGATAGGACAGAAACGTTTCATTTTCAGAAAGTTCTACAGACATGAGGGTGAGCAAAATTCCCATTTTTTTCATCTACCCCATGATTTAACCCCACTTTCTGTTTTCCATTCTCTGCCTCACTTCTCTTCTTTCTGGTAGGTAGTTTCTAGTTTCACCATGTACTTTTTTCATAGCGGCATTAAGAACTAACAAAACTGTTGAGATATAGATGAATCGCAGCTTTGCGTGAATAAAGATAATATTTTCTGTTTATTTCCAATGTTCAAGACTTTGTCAACCTCATTTAATGCAAAGACACATGGTCATTCTGATTCTGTAAGAATCTAGCTTTCTGCAATGACTCATGATTCGTTTACTAGGTGGTAAAAAAGCTCCCACGTCTTTATTTTATATGCCCTTTGCAGCATAGATAAAAAACGGAAGCAACAAACTTCTCCACTGCCTCTCAGGATAAATTCTTTCTCTTACAGATCTTCCCTCCATGGTTTAGGATTGCAAACTTTCTTATCTATTTGAAAAGTTAGAACAATGACCAGTTTGTCTCATCTTGATTTTTCATGTCTTGTGGATTACTTAGATAAATGAACAAATAGAAATGGTTTGGTCATGTGCTCCATGGCGCAAATTATACATAAAACATATAATGGAATGGGACATGTTCCTATTAGTAAATACTCTCACTTCCATAGAGTTTGAGTTCATTGTTTTATTTGTGTCACTAAACTGAATCTTTTGACTTCAACTCAAAAACGTTTGATTTAGTTTTCATATTGATTGAAATGCTATGAAAGCTGTCTGCAATCTCTGTGAAAAGAGCATTTTAATATAAGGTAAATGTCATCTTTGAGTCTAAACTGTTTTTCTTCTTTGTTAGGTTTTATTTTTGAAAAGGAGTAAGCCATAAAACAAGAAAATATCTGGGAAAAACTGTAACAGCACTTTCAGAAAAAGGATTCTTTTCACGATATAAAAACATTTTTCTTTTGTGAGAACTATTGAATCCCTGTGCTTTTCTCTTGATTATATATGCTTTCAACTTGTGATGTAAACTTCAAAATATAAGATTGTCAGATGCTCTTTCTTGTTTACCATCACTGAGCAACTACCACAAATAGTGCTTGTCATCTTTGAGAGACTAGTGTGTGTACTTACACTATAATTACCAAGAATTTGGCTCCTGCAGTTTTTCTACAATTATGGTTTGTTTTTCCACAGTGAGAAAAATGAGCCCATAACAAAAGACTAAAGACTGAGCAGTATTAAAAGTAGCTTCTACTTGTAAAATGCTGAAGCTGTCTATAACTTCAGATTCCTGAATGTTATGAAAAATCCATTATCTCAGATATCTATTTTTACTTTATTTCTTTCACTTAATATAGTTCAATTATATGCTTTATTTGATATTATAAATAAATGTTTAAAAATATAAATAAGAGCTGTTTCCCCACAGCTTTTTAAAATTCAGAGTTTAGATTTTTTTGGGCTTATTTGGATAATTTCTTTCTTTGACAAAACAAATTTTTTGTGTTAGAAAAATAATTATAATACTGCCAAAGAAACCAGTTGGTAATCATATGATATCATTATAGTCAAATTATCAATAAAAAAGAACCATTTATATGTTCACATATAAATAGAGAAAATTATTAAAAATTACATGCTTATTTCTAGTTCAGTGGTAAAAGCAGGCAGGGAGAGTGGAATATGTTTTCTTCATAGACAATAAAAATCTTGCTACATCTTCTTTACATAAAAAGACAAGAGCAGCTTATTAACCAAATGCTAATTTAATTCTTTTGATAAATAAGATTCTTAAAATTTTTTGAGAACCAAAGTTTCTAAAAAAGAACGTTTTGTGGTCTGTTGAATTTAAAGTAACTTTGGTGATACTTGTAAGTACAGTGAGTGCAAAAGGGCAAATGAAAGAGTTTCTGTCATTTTAAACCTTATTCTATCTGAATATGCTGTTTATTGCAAAGAAAGAGTTTTGGTACTGCCATGTTTCGCCTGTAACAGTGAGTAAATAGATCATGCTGTAAATAAATTACCCATAGGACCCTTGGTTTAGGAATAGGAACTAATCAAGATGCTAAAATATTGTGAAAGCTAGGCACGCAGAAGACTTTGGCTGCCTTAACAACAATCAAAGGCACCATCAATTCCAAACATGAGTTCAATCGTATTATGCAAGTCTCATTAACAGCAACTGTCGTCCGATATTTCATCCAGGTTTCATCCTCAAATATACTACTATTAACTGTGGCATATTTCATTTTAATATTACCACTACCTACTCTCACTGTAGATGAAAAGTTATTCTTTCTTGAACATTCATTTAATACTATGATTTACCAGTTTTACTATTCTAAATTCATTTTTAAATGGTTATTTCACAAATATTTCTGTTGATTAAGGTCACTTTCCCCATGGATACATACTATACATCATAACTGGATAAGATCTGCATTATGAAATTCCCTCCACTTAACAGCTCTTCAAATTTATTGGCTAAATGTCATGACCATTTTTAGGGCTATAAAGTAATTTCAATTTAATGTTCCCCATCTTTGTGCACTATTTTTAGGGTTAGATATTATAGAGTTGCTCAGGAGAGAGCACAAGTTTAGAAGATGTAAAAGAAATATATTTACCAATTCCCTCATCTGAATAGCTTGGCATTAAGATTTTTCCAAGATCTCGCTGGTAACAGCTCAATAATCATCACTGATGAATTGGGCAGTAATTCCACCCCAGGGTCTAGTTTCATCAGCTGTCATAGGTTAAACAGAATGGAACTGGCCACAGTCAATAAGGCTGGCAAACACCCTCAAGGTCCTAACTAAAATGTTGTTATTGATTCTGTAGGTGGCTCATCTTTCTACGGTTCAATATCTTTAACTAGCATTCCAGTTTAATAGTTTTAGATAACACATCTTTTCTTGGCTATTTTACTCTAGGTAAAAGGACAACCTATTAACATTATAATTTAATATGGATGCATTGGTACAATCCTGAAACAATTAGATGTAAAAGGAAATATCCTAATGGTTTGCATATGTGCTGTATGCTTGTTTGATTCCTTTCCTCTTTTTTATTCCCTTATAGTGTGACTATAACTGGCATGATTGTTTTCTTTTTGTTGAGTTGACCATTTGATGGAATTCTCCTTCTCTTTGAATTTTGGCTGTACTTATGATCTCTAACATAAATGGAATTCTAGAGAAGGTAGGAAATTTTTAGTTCACTTAGTCTGCAACTCCACACCCTAAGCAAGAATTCCCTCTATAACATTTTGGAAAATGTTATTTGGGCTCTATTTAATCCTTTCAGTAAGGTGGTCTTCATTTCTTCACAGGGCAGCCAATTTTGTACGTATGCATTCTTTCTTATTATGAGCCAAGTTCCTCTCCTGTATTCTCCCCCTCTCCTACTGCCAGCCCATTGCTCCTTGTTTGGTGCTCTACCACACATGCAAAATGTGTTTACTTCTTCTCCCATGTGACAGCTGTTTCAGTGATTTGGGATTAGCTTTATTGAAGACTTTTTATAATCAAGACATCAACACAACAATTCTTTTAACCATTCTTCTCACTTTCTGGTTATCAATATTTAAGAATCCAGGTTATTTTCAAAATGATTACAGGGTAGCTCTCATACTTATTAATCTTGTCCATAAATAGTTTAAAAACACTCTACTTTTTAGTAAAGTTCTCAAAGGCAGTCTCCACGTCTTGTCTTTCTTGAAATTCGTCTGAGGGTCTAGCACAGTTTGTGTGTTTTACACAGAAGTAAGTTCAAAATAAATACTTTTTTTAAAAAAAAGAAATGATGTAAACAATATTACTAAAATAGAATTGATAACTTTTAAAATCAATGAGTTGTCTAAAGCAGGGGTCCACACCTCCCAGGCCATGGACTGGTTAAGAACCAGGCTGCACCAGCAGAAGGTGAGCAGCAGGCAAGAGAGCAAAGCTTCATCTGTATTTACAGCTGCTCCCCATCACTCACCTTACAGCCTGAGTTCCATCTCCTGTCAGATCAGCGACAGCATTAGATTCTAATTGGAGTACAAACCCTATTGTGAACTGTGCATGCAAGGGATCTAGGTTGCATGCTTCTTATGAGAATCTAATGCCTAATCATCTTTCATTGTTTCCCATCACCTCAGATGGGACCATCTAGTTGCAGGAAAACAAGGTCAGGGCTCCCACTGATTCTACATTATGGTGAGTTGTATAGTAATTTCATTACATGTTACAATGTAATAATATTAGAAATAAAGTGCACAATAAATGTAATACACTCGAATCATCCCAAAACCACCACCACCCCAAGGAAAAGTTGTCTTTCACGAAATCAGTCCCTGATGCTAGAAAGGATGGGGACGGCTGGTCTAAAGCAACTGGTTGTTTTGACATCTACTCTGATATATCCTCACAGTATATTCATAGGCTTAGAGAGTTGGAAGAGAACTTGGAAATGTATCTAGTCCAGGTCTGTTATAACTGGAACCTGACATTCACTGGAAGCCTTGTTTTTATAGAGGACCATTGAATCCCTATGGATTTAAGTGGATCTTTCTCTTTGCCCTTCTTCACTGGGTTTATAATTTTAGAAGAACAAGGATCAAACTGCATTGAAGTTGTTATGATTCTGTGTCTTCTGTTATTTTTATAGCTTGAAGTAATTTGTTTATATTATCATGCCTTATCCTCCTTTTCTGATGCAGAAACTGAGGCACATGCAGGGTTAGACTAAGTACCCAACTTCAAACAACTATTAAGGGGCAAAGATGGGTCACTCAGGATTTATTATCTTTGCATTCCCAACATGACATAACACTTGTCTTTCAATATATGTTTGTTATCTCATAAGGTAGTCTCCCAATAATTGAAGAAAAAATATGTTTGTTTGTTTTTAAAGTGAATTAAAGTTGTAGTTGTATTACAGCTATTTATGTACTGAGCCTAAAGGCCAAATAGTTCTATAAAACATATAATGTACAAGTAGTTAGTTTGTCACCTGTTCTTCTGTATCCTTAATCTATAATTTACAAGGACAACATGCTTATTTTGTTATATTTGAATTTTTGGTTTGACTTCTTATTATGGAAGATAAGGATTTAGCTTTCTTTCTTTTCACCACATATGTGTATTCACTTCCCCTACCTCATCTCCCTTGTATAGGTGTATCACAACTTTTATTAATTCATACTCAGTAGAATTATGTAATAAATTCATTACTGTATTATGGCAATATAAACTTTTTTTTTTTTTTTTTTTTTTTTTACAACTGAGCCACATATTACACTAGGGTTACATTTACTATCCTACAAAACACTTTTGTTTTTCCAGAAGTCAGTAATTTCCTTCCACATAAAAAATGCTCAGCTTGGTTTTCTGGGTACCACCATTTCATCCTCAAATTCTATGGTAGAACTGAAGGTCCCTACAAATACCACCAATTATCCAGATGATCATTTCTTTTTTTTCTAAGAAATATTCTGTCAGAATCTTGTTTACTCTTGTTCCAGTTTGGACTGGTTTCTATTGAGGCTTGCAACACGGATGCCATGTAGCAATGTCCATCTGTTATCATGTGGGACTCTCATATCTTCTCTCTTGTGTTGAAACTCCTGATTCTTGCATCCCATGTTTTATTTTTTTATTATTTTACTCTTTCCTTTTGTTGGAGCAGTTCTTCCACTAGATTCCTTAGAAAGGATGCATGGGAAGTACATTTTTCAAATTGATTATTTGAAAATATTTTGTTCTCCCCTTTTCTACTTGATGATAGGTTATATATTACATTTTAAATTGGAAGAAATTTTAGAAATTAGATTTTTGAAGGTATTCCTCTATTGCTTATTAGCTTCTACAATTGTCATTGAGAAACAGTATCCTTGTCTTGTAAACTCATTTCCTCCCCTCTGGAAGTATTTAGAAGCTTCTTTTTGTCCCCATTGCTATGAAATTTTAGGAAAATGTATTTTAGTGTTATCCCATTTCATCCATTATACTGGGAATTTGATAGGCATAGTACTCAATTCAGTAAAGTTAATTTTTTTGGATAATTTTCTTTATTAAGTTTTCTTTCATCTTTGTTTCTTGAACTCCTATTAATTGCGTGTTTGATTTCTTAACTTAATCCTCTAGTTTCTTATGTTTGTTCTTTCTTCTTTGTGAGATTTCCTTATCTTTAATTTGTATAATTCATTTTAAAAAATTGTTTTATTTTTAATTTTTAAGAGTTCTTTCGTGTTCTCTGAATGTTTATCTTTGATATACTTATGTTTTTGTTTTATGAATGAAATATTTTCTATTATCTCTCTGAGGTTATTCTTATAGTTTTAAAAATAGTTTTATTTTCTTCCTTGGAATTTCTCCTGTTTCTTTGAATTTTTTTCCTATTTTATTTATTTATTTTTTGAGATGGAGTCTTTCTCTTGTTGCCCAGACTCTGGAGTGCAATGGCATGATCTCGGCTCACCGCAACCTCTACCTCCCTCTACCTCCCGCGTTCAAGCTATTCTCCTGCCTCAGCCTCCAGAATAGCTGGGATTACAGGCATGAGCCGCCACACCCGGCTAATTCTGTACTTTTAGTAGAGAGGGGGTTTCTCCATGTTGGTCAGGCTGGTCTTGAACTCCCGACCTCAGGTGATCCACCCAACTCGGCCTCCCAAAGTGCTGGGATTACAGGCATAAGCCACCACACCTGGCCCTTATGTGTTTTTTTAAAACTTGTTCAACTTTAAATTTCTCCAAATTGCTGATGAGCTTGGCTATCGCTTTATTTTTAAGATTATAGTGCTGAGAAGCTGATTTGTACAATTATGTGGGTAGGGCTGCCCATTGGTAGACTTTCCTGTAAGATGAGTGATCCAAATGAGACTTTTTTTTGTGTGTGTGGTTTCCTAGAGGATCAGAATTTGTGTGGCTTTTCTCCTGGGTTTGTTCTTTTCCTTAGAGAGAAATCTTCCACTCATCTGACAGGGTGTATGAGGCTTCTCACTGTTTGATGTCTCACTTTCCTTAATCCACCTGTGTTTAGTATAATATCTTCAGTATAGCTGAGGATGGTACCTTTAACACAAAAATCTCTTTCCAGAGAGAAAATGCAAATCATCAGGGAGGGTAGAAAGAGAGGTAGTCACATAAACATGAAAAATGGAGGATTCTTGTGGTCTAATTGCTTCTTATTGTAGACTTCCAGTCAATTTGGTCTAGACCCATTTTGCAACCACTGTCTGAGGTAACTGCTGCTTTTCACTTCATCCGTTCTGCAGCTCTGTGGTGTGAATCAAGTGGCCAGGTCACAATGCTTTGAGTGAGGAAAAATGGGGAGGAGTCTGTTCTAGGCCCAGAGAATTGCTTCTGTAATACAACATCAAATATTCTTTTTATATATTTTATTGACCTCATAATATTATTTCTCTATTATATCATTTAAGCAGACACTTGTTACTGAGTATTTACTTGGCTTCAAGTTTTTCTTCATTATAAACAGTACTGTAATAAACATCTTTTTACATATAACTTTGAGCATTGTTTGATGGTTTTTTGAGCATAAGTTCCTACAAGTGGAAAATCTAGGTTAATGGCTACGAAACATTTTAAAGCCTGTGGTAATGAAATGAATGGGATGAAGTGAGTTTTTCTTCCTTCTAGGTGCCCTTTCACTTCTTATCTTGAACAGGGATCTGAGTTGTTCAGAGAGGCGAGAGAAAGTGAAGTAGGTAAAATTATATTCATAAATATTTTAAAGGGGACTTTTGGAAAATGGGAGTCTTCTTGCTGCATCATTTCTTATGTTCCTCTAGAGAAGCTTTCAGGTGAGGCAAGAGTGAATTCTACTGAGGAATTTTGATACAACTAACGGTATCCTATTTTTTAATTGAAGTCTTTATTTGGAATTAGAAGCTCCGATAAACTCACTTCTTTCAAATAACACAGATGAACCAGCACCAAACTTTTTATTTCTTTAAAATTACTTGCTGATTTCAACTGAAAGTAGATGATAATTGTTTATTGCCACAATTGGTATTCTCAACTAAACTGACTTTTATGAAGTGAAATATTATTTGAACAAGTTTAGTTTTAAAAACTATATGGAAAAATTGTCCCTAATTTAAAAATGTTTTTTTAGGTATAAGTACCTGGACAATTACTGTACCTGGCCAAGTAGTCTTGGTACTGTTTGTGGAGGTATGTTCGACTGATCAAGTCTTTGATATACAGCATACCTGGAGCTTCTGCCTAGATTCAGAAATCACTTACTTTCATCAAGGAATATTTTAAAAATTCCCTAGGGTCAAAGGGCTTAGATTTAAACTTGTGAAAAAGAAAAAAAAATGAGTAGTTGCTGAGTTGGTAGAGATGGAGGTGTTTCATGTACATGAAAATATCATAACTGACTTACTTGGTGAGGTTGAATTCTTGGAGGCCTCTGGAAATTTACACCAAAAAAGATAACATGTGGTAAAAAATACAATTAAATAAAACAATAAATGTGGATTTAGTGTGTGTTGTATCATATCATGAAGTAATGCTGCAACTTAAGCAAAGTGATTGTAGCAGCATCGTTTGCTTAGAATAAACTTGTTTAAAAGTACATGTAGAGAATATGCTGGCATTTGTGATGCATAAATAGAATGTTCCCTACAACATCATAATATCACATATAAAAAATGTTCTTTATCAGATGGCCTTCACTATTACAGACTTTGCCTGTATTTTTCCCCCTTTTCATTCTAAATTGGTTTTGACATTCTGCCTCTCAGGGACAACTCTGGGTAGCTGTCAAAGTGGACAATTCCTTCTATGATAACCAAATCTAAATAGAGACAAAAACAAACCCTTCAATATCCTGATGGATTAATGCTTCTTGGAGATGGTTCCTTCAATAATTGATTATTTGCTACAGTTTGACCATATGTATTGGGGACAGCATGTCTGTTGCCATAACAAACTAATTGAGCAATTCAGTTGACGTGGCTTCTGGTTCCTGCAGGTTGGTGAACTTCAGGCATGTCCGCTGAGCACAACTGTCCTCTTAGAACAATATGTCTGGGAATTTTGAGACTTTTCCAATTCCCTTCACCTGTGACCCACTTTATGGATTTTAGACGTGGGTGAATCTGATCCCAGAAGGGACAGCTCACTTCAGTACCCTGTCCCGTAGGCAAAGGGAGTAGACCATCCATTACCCTCTCCTTCTCATTCTTAGGTTAATGACTACATTAAGTATTAAACGGGTTTCCGTCTCTAGAGTGCCCATGTAAGTGATTTTACATTAGCTCATCCACTTTTGGCACTGTCCTTTCTTTGATTTCTGATAAAGCATGTTGCTTCTGTGTAACATAACTCAGAGGAAATCATGATTGATTTGACAACCATTAATGTGATGCTTAATATTAACCTTCATCTTTAGAGATGGAGTAGGGTGGTGAAGGAGGAGCAGAGGGAAAAGAAAGAAGAGTCAGGGAGGAAAATGTGTCTTAGACGTTTTTAAGGCAACAGGGACCAAATTATCTCAATGACCTACTACAAAAAATTTAACACTTTTCCTCTCTTTTTTTCCCTTTTATTTTCTTTGAATCATCTCAGGATTTCTGATTGCTTAGATACTGGTTCTAATCTCCCTACCACAGCTCACAGAGCTGCACTGAGAGGGAAAGTTTCATTTTGAAGCACAAATATCTTGGGAATAAAATCTGCTACAACTTTTCAAAAAGGGTTAGAGTTTCACCTTTAACTAGTTTATAGTTTAACATTTAAGGAGAACAGGTAATGTAGTGGAGGCTGCAAGAAGAGCAGAATTCAGATATAATCTCTAGCCATTGAGATTGTTACCAGAGTAGACAGACAGACAAGACCCACAGAAGGCAGGGAGTGGAGGTGGAGGAAGCATCAAGGAAGGTGGTTCCTTATGCGACTGTAGCTGAGGGAGTTTGAGGCATCTGTCAGCAGCTGTTTTCAGAGGCTTCAGCCAGTAAAAGAAAGGTTTCTCTGAGACTTTTATTCCAAGAGAAAGCTAGTCTTAAAAAAAATCTAGCTCCTTTTTTATATGTGTGCAAGCATAGTCACCCATACCTCTTTTGGCTATTCTTTTAGGAATAGGACTAGATTTATATATATTTTTTGTTTCCTCTAGTGGACAGAGAAGAAATCCCTGGGTAACGGTAGAAGTCTGTGTTTTTTTGCAGCTCATTCTCTGCAATGTGGCAAAAGTCCATTCTCACTCTAAGGTGTCAGAAAGAGAGTAACAGTGATTTGGGTCTTTATGACAAATTTATCCTTTCTCACTTCTCAGAGACAGTCTGATACATCTTTTAACAGGGTTGGGAAGATGCAGCATGGGTCCAGCAACGTTCCATGCTATCCTTCTCTTTATTAGGGCTTGATTATTCAATGAACTAGGTGTGGATATAAACTTTTCTTGCATTTGTATAAATATTACTCCCTAAAGAGACAATATATTTAAAATGTTACTTAAGTATTGTATATATGTATATGTAATATACATATATCACATAGCTTTTAACTAACTCAACTTCCCCCATTTAGCCCATGAGGAAAGTGTTATCTTTATTGGTAAAGTGATCATCAAAGGCTTCCCAGCTGGTAGTAGACAGTTGAGGAGGATCCAACCTCAAGACCCCAGTTATTGCAACACAGTCCTGGAGATGAACACAGGTGATTTAACATAGCAGGGAAGAGAAAATGCAGTCAAGGGCCAGCTAGCCAACTTCCAGCTTGTTAAGGAAAATGTTATAGATATTCTAGTAGAACATATAGAACCAGACTGCATTTTGTAAAAAGCTATATTATGAAAAATCTAGCATTTGGTGCACGGGCTGGGAAAATCAAGCAATAGGATTTAAAAAGAAAACATTTGACACACAGATCCCTAGCTGAAAATTCAAGGTATCTAATTTACTTCCTTCTCTTCCCAGGAGTTTTAATTGTTTGCATATCAACAAATAAGTCTGTAGTGAAACTCAAGTTTATCCGAATGAATTAATTAGAATTGTGTACAGCAATTAATGACTATGGGCAAGACCTTAACAATGTGATCACCATCAACAGCTTTAGATCTTAAGAAATCTTTCTGTGAGCTGTAGGAGTTCAAAAGCTACAGAAAGCATCCAGCAGTGTCAAAATGTTGGGTTTTATGTCATTAGATCAGTTTCTCAAAAACAGTATTACTGACACTCTGGGCTGGCTAATTCTTTTCTTGTAGGAGGACTATCTTATGCATTTGTAGGGTGTTTGGCAGCAACCCTGGCCTCTACTCACTAGATGCCGGTAACACCTCCGTCCCTCTTGTAACAATAAAAAATATCCCCACATATTGCCCCTAGAAGCAGGAGTGAGAAAAAATATTCCCCAGTTGAGAACAAACACATTAGATGATAAATTCATTTCAGAATCAAACCACATGATCTATTTATTCTAGACCATAGGAATCTGAGTCTGTTTCTTTCAAACAGGAGATAGCACCTGAAGTGAATGAGTATGTACGTATGCATGTGTGAAATAAGGCAAGCTAATCAGGCACTTTCTAAATCAATCAAATGAAAGACAAGAAGAAAAAGGGATAAAGAAGATCACTGGGCCAGTCAGGATCTGATTAGGAAATTAGAAACCACAGAGGAATAAGTGCAGGGAATTGCTACACTGGTGATGTGTTGAGCTGAGTTATATAAGAAACTTCAAGTAATCCCAGAAATTAGCAACAACTATTACTTATGCTAGAGTGACAAAGGAGGGGACACTACTACCTGATATTCCAAGGCCAAGATCACTCCAAAAGAGGCTGGGAGTAGGATGGACCTCTCTGGTGGGAATTAGAACCATGTAGGAGGCATAAACGTGCCCCAGGCAGAAGGAGGGGAAGAAATACCCTGGTTTTTCCCTTCAATTTGTTGCGGCATCTCTCCATTTCAAGAGCTAGTCTTCTACTTCCATGCCCCAGGTTATATAGAGTTCTGCAAAGAAATTTGGAAATGGATCTATGTGCAAACAGTCCTAGGACTGGTAGTAGATGTGTTCTAACCTGTTCAGAAGAGTGTCCTATTTCCTAGAGAACTAGAACCTGGGGGCATAAAGTTATCTAGCTTTATGTCTAAAATGTGACACATTTTCTAGTTCTTCAATGATTTTCTCCTGTACACTCACAGTACATGAGGCACAAATGCCTCAAGTGTCAAGTGGGTGAGGGTGCTTATCTTAGGGCAATACCTGAGGACTTTTATACTGATACTGATTTAAGATCAAAAACCACAGTAGTGAATTGCTTACCACTCTGGAGCCCTTATCATGTGCCAGATTCTATGTTAATGTGTTAAAGCATAATTTAATTGTAACATTCCAAATAGTTGTATGATGTGAGCACCATTATTATCTCTATTATAGAGACAAGAAAACCAAAGTGGAGAGAAGTTAAGCAAACTGCTTAAGGTCATATAACTAGTAAGTAGAGGAGCATGATTTGAATTCAGTTCTCTCAAAATCTTGGCCCTGTGCTACACTGCCATTTTATGGGAAGAAGAATAAGAAGAAAAGGATGATGATGATAAATGATAATGACTATATCTACCCTTTGTTAGAAATCTACAGCGGGCCTAGTATGCTTTTAGTGCCTTTACGTTTATTATTGTTAACTCATTGAATTCATTCAATGGCCCATTTTACAGATGAGGAAACACAGGCACAGAGGTTCAGTAGTCCAAGATCACAGAGCTGTTAGGTGATAGAGCTGGGTTTTAAACCTAAGAAGTTTTGGCTTTAGTCCTGTGCTTTTAACCATCAAGTGATACATGGTATTGTGTGCACATGATTTATCTATCCATTGTTCCATTTCAACCGGCTCCATTCAATGCCAGGCACTTTCCTAGGCCTTGAACCATGAAGATGACAATGACACAAGTGGGAAACTTATCATTCAGTGGAACTTATCATTTAGTGGAATGCTTACAAATGCATAAACAACTGACGATGATTTCATGTGACAGGTACTGTAAGATAAGGTCAACCTTGAGAAAAATGAAGACAGAAAGGAAGATTGGGAATTTTCTCTGCATGAGATGGAAAATGGCAGCTCCACAAACAAGAGCTCCATAAGAAAGCCAACTCATAAGATATATTTTCACTGCAGAAGTTGTACAGTTGTAAAGTAGGAGACAAGAAAGAAAGTGGAAATGGCTAGAGGGTGGGGGTCTAGCTACAGAGGAAGGAGGGCAGAATAGACAAGATCCAGATCAAGAAAGGTCTTACATGATCTAGTAGGGAGCTGGGAGACTTTCCTTTTATAGTGCCTTTAAAATTCTTTAGGGAATGTGCTGATTTATTCTACATTCTCATCTTCTACCAGCTATTAAATTATATTCTCTGAAGTCTTTAAGTGCACTGCACATTGTTGGAGAAAATGAATGAAGTCTTTCTCTGACCATACTTTGTTGTAGCTGTTTTGGAAGTGACATGTGAAAGCTCAGAGCACAGTCCAGCTGGCACTTAGGAGGCTCTGGTGACCTGAATTTGGAGAAGGCCTGACCTACAGCAGCAAAAGCCCTTATGGAAAGATTGCTGCGAGTGAGCTGCTGAAATGTCACTCTAGCCTCACTCCCTGCTTCATCGCTGTCCAGTTATTTCCCAAATGGCTTTCTTTGGTGGTTGGTTTCAGATTGAATATTCAGGCCCAATAGACAAAGTGGAAACCTAAAATTTGTGATTGAAATGCATTGTTGGAATTTTAGCCTGAAGATGTCACAGTTTTCATTTTTAAAATATGCATAACATAGAAAGGTAATTAAATTCCCCCATCATGAATGCTGCGCTTGGCTCAGCATTTGAGGAGGAGCTGCCCTGGGCAATGTAGCCTCTGCTTTGTCCACTGGGCATTTGTGTGACTTCTCTAGCTTTCCAAGCCCTGTGGGGACTTGGATAGATGGGAAAGTGGGGGAGGCAACCTCTGCTTGAATGAGATTTTAACTGGATGTCATTGGCTCATTTTTGACAAGTAGAACAATCTAAAGAGCACTATTACTTCTTTTGCAAACTGTAATTCTTTTGTTCCTTGGTGACTGATAATAATATCATGAATTAGAGTGAAATATTAGTATTAAAATAGTAGAGAGTACCAGTGGAAGTCAGTCAGAATAATGTGTATTTGAGTGTCTCAGCTCTCCTGCTTTTCTGTTGTATTACCACTGGAAAATCATTTAATCTGTTAAATCTGTAAATTTTAGTTTTCTAATCTGTAAAATAATTCCTGTTTCCTGCCATTGGTTTGAGGAGTAAATGATTTTATGCATATGACAATGATTTGTGAACTATGAAACATGTATTTCTATTAACAAATTGGCAAGATCAATAGTCTGTTAGCAGTATTTTCATCACATTATGACTTGTGAGCATAATATTTTGAAAGTAGCAAATGCATTCATTAGCAGTGGGTCCTTTTTCATAAGAAAAATTTTTCTAATAGCCTGCCCTTTGTTTGTAACCATGGTCCAGAGTTGGCCAAATCGCAGAGAGTATAGAAACTGATATTGAACTCCATTAATCTCACCCTGTCAGACAAATGATGTGGGAGTACCTTGTAAGACTCTGCATCTGAAAAAGGATAATATCTACTGGAGGGTAGTTTTCAAAATTAAGGAAATTAATTCTTGCAAAACCTTTAGCATAATATATGAAACAAAGTATTCAATGAATGTTAGCATCTATTTTTATTATCATTATTACAATGCCCACAATCTGCAGGCAAATATAAGAAATGTTTAATTTCTTCCTGGGCATAGTGGTGAACCACTAAGGGATTTTAAGGCACTTTTGAGTCAGTAGTTTGTATCTTGAAAATCACCTTTATTTTGCGCAGCACAGGGTACAATTACTATCTGAACACCATGTCTCAAAAAACTGCTATACTTTGTTTTTTGTAGAAAATAATGTGACTTTGTAAATCTAGTGTAAAAAATAACTTCATGAAGATAATTCATATGTTAAATAATGAATGGAAGCTGACAATTTATAAAAGTCCTATGAGGAATTTTTAGAAGCTGTTCATAAATTTTTTGATAAATAATCTTCTGCCAACTTATTTGAGCATGTTGAGCTTTTTATTGCAAAATCAATCCATATTTAATATAGAAAGATTAGAAAGAAAAATTAGCAAAGAGAAGGAAATTTAAAATCTCTCTTCATCTCACCACTCAGAGACAATCATTGCTGATATTTCAGCGAATAAAATTTTTTGGTTCAAATTTTCAAAATTGCACTTACATGAATTGGGCATATGTCCTTAGCATTTAACTATGAGAAGATAAAAGGCATGCCATGAGAACTTTATTTCAATATCAAAAGAAATATGATTAGAATTTAAAAAATCTAAATTCAATCCAGAATTCCTTTTGTAGCCGTATTTAAATATGTAATTCAGATAAGAATGTTAGAACTCTTTTGTGGATTGCTTTTCAAACCTGGAATAACAACTTTTCTGCTTTACCTTCTTTGCATCATAAGCAATAAATCACAAATTGCCACCTCTGTATATAGGGCTTTCTAAATTATCCTGAAGGGAGAACTATTCAAAGAGTGATTTAAAAGAGGAGAGTATATATGAGTTAAATACGTTTCATAAAATGATTCACAGAACACATATTTAGGAATTCTTGAATATTATTTTGAATATATTTTGTCTCTATCTTGTTTGTTGGTTTTATACCTGAACTCTTCCAAATTGCTGAGCATTAGTATTAACATGCCTGGTCTCATAACTTACTCTTTACTCTTTGTTTGATACTATAGACATTGGAAGAAAATGGGCTAGAGTATCCTAATGTAATGGTTGGGGAAATATATTTTAGGAATTATGGAAAGTCACACAACTATGCTGTCTTGTAAATTAATGATGCCATTCTCTTCCCCTAAACTGTAAAACTCAGTTAAAAGTAAATCAAACATGCTTTCCTCAAGCACCCAGATATAATCAATTATTATGGCATTAGTGTAAGAAAGAGATAGTTATATTTATAGACAGATTCTATGAAAGAGGAGAGAAGTGGAATACAACTAATTCCTTCAGCACAAATTACCATTAGTATTTTTGAAACTATTTTTTCAATTGAATTTAATCCCCAGAAACAATAAGGTAGGATTCCTTTTTTTCCCATTTATCCTTTGCATATGGTCATAGGATCATAGAGAGGATGAACATTAACAACCTGCCATTCCAGTTTAACTCTTATCAAAGGATAATAGAGGATGACACATTAAAACTCTTCTCACTTAACTGGGCAGCAGCAGTGCACTGGCTTGCTCAGCTTGTTATGTCAGAGAAAAATTGCACTGGACAAGTGAAACAGGCATGGAGGACTTTGTTTAAGACTATTACAACAGGGTTCAAGACTTTCAAGATGAAAGAGATTGAACTGAACTCCACTGAAACAAAAGTTCTGAGAATTTCTAAGTGCTGGGATAAGCCAGTGAAAAAGCACCGGAGGATACTACCAGAGAGGTTGGTCCATGTATTAGGCCATCTGTTTGCTAATTGGTGCTTATTAAAGTTAGGTTTCTACCCTTTTATTGAGATTAGGAGATAGGAATACTATGTTTCTTGATGATTACATTTCAAAGGAAAGGCTGCCCGGTCCTTGAGAAAGACCCTTCTGGGTTGTAAACTGGCAAGAGGCTGTGAGATTTCATCTCAAAGGAGCAGAAAAATAATTTACAATAGCAAGTTTTCTCAAGTACATGCTCTAAAAGGGAGGTCAGGGACATGCAGTTAGGAAGAAACCTGTATAAAGTTTAGTCAAGCTGAGGGAAAAATTTTAAGATCCCCTTGGCCATCATCAGAGCCACATATTCAGGAAGGTTCCCTAGCAGTCACGTAATGTTCTTCCCATACTCCTAGCTCTTTTTGGATTTCATTGATAAATATGGCATGAGGTGGGTGTGGGTTTTCCAGAGGCGATGACTTACGTGTCTTGGATCTGTATACATATACATATATGTGAATATGTATTATATATATAAATAAATATACATATAGATTTTGTGCTTGTATATGTGTCTCTATTTCTGTCTTTATTTGTCCATAAGGGGTATGCCTGGACTAGAAGTCTGTCTTAGGAAGAGAGCTTTCTGCCCTGGTATAAGAGCAACTCTGTGTAAATTAAATGCTAATTCTTATCTGAAACATTTAGTGTTGAAACCTTTAATTTTCTGTATTATTATAATTATTGCAAAGTCTACTTTTTAAAACTTTTAGGATGATAAATGATCTTACAATAAATTTATTTTAACAATAATTTTATTGAACACAAGACAACTGGAAAGAAGCAGGTGGTATAGCATGTAGACATTTTAAATTTTATTTATCAAGTAATGTAATACAAGGCCTGGGACATACATTTGGGAAGAGAAAGTGACAAAGCATTAGGAGCACACAGAAGGAGGAATGCTTAATTCTGATTGTGGTTGAAGAGAAAGGCATTAAGGAGTTGAAGAGGAGGGATGGGGTAGTGTTTGGGGTAGAAGGTCTTGAAGAATGACAGGATTTTAAAAGTGTGAAAAAGGAAAAAGGGCCATCCCGGTAGAACTTGCTTATAGGCAAGAGTAAATGGAATGAATTTGAGTAAGGGTATTCAAGGGATGGATTAAAACTGAGTTTGGCAGTGATACTTTTCAAGGCCTATTATAGACTGAATATTTTTGTCTCCCAAAATTCATATGGGGAAACCCAGTCTCTGATGTAATGGTATTTGTATGGGGAGCTTTTGTGAGGAGGAGGTTATTAGGTCATGAGGACAGAGTTCTCATGAATGGGATTAGTATCTGTATTAGTCCATTCTCACGCTGCTATAAAGAACTGCCTGAGACTGGGTAATTTATAAAGGAAAGAGGTTTAATTGACTCACAGTTCAGCATGGCTGGGGAGGCCTCAGGAAACTTACAATCGTGGCAGAAGTCAAAGGAGAAGCAGGCACCTCATTCACAGGGTGGCAGGCTGGAGTAAGTAAAAGCAGGGGAAATGCCAGACACTTATAAAACCATCAGATCTTGTGAGACTCACTCAGTATCATGAGGACAGCTTGGGGGAAACTGCCCCTATGATCTGATTACGTCCACCTGGTCCCTCCCTTGAAAATGGGGATTATGGGGATCACAATTCAAGATGAGATTTTGGGTGGGAACACAGCCAAGCCATATCAGTATCTTTGTAAAAGAGGCTCCAAAGAGGCCCCTTTCTCCTTCCACCATATGAGTCCACAGCTAGAAAGCACCATCTATGAGTTAGGAAACAGGCTCTCACCAGACACTGAATCAGCTGGCAACTTGATGTTGGATTTTCCAGCCTGTAGAACATTGAGAAATAAATTTATGTTGCTTATAAGCCAGGCAACTTATGGTGTTCTGTTATAGGAGCTTAAATACAATAAGACAGGGTCAGATCAGAAATAGCCTTCTACGCTATGTTAAGGAATTCTAATTTCATCTCTTTAAAGAATAAGAAATAATTAATTTTTTTTTTGAGACAGTTTCGCTCTTGTTGCCCAGGCTGGAGTGCAATGGTGCAATCTTGGCTCACTGCAACCTCTGCCTCCCGGTTTCAAGTGATTCTCCTGCCTCAGCCGCCTAAATAGCTGGGCTTACAGGCATGTGCCATGATGCCCGGCTAATTTTGTATTTTTAGTAGAGATGGGGTATTTCCACGTTGGTCAGGCTGGTCTCGAAATCCCGACCTCAGGTGATTCACCCGCCTCAGCCTCCCAAAGTGCTGGGATTACAGACTTGAGCCACTGTGCCCGGCTTATATGTTCTAAAAATTGAAAATAACAGCAGTCCATTTTCAAAAACTGATGCCTGGACTTGTGGATTCCTGGAAAGTGAGTAGAGAGTTTTGACAGTGGGCACAATGAGGAAGCTATGAGTGTATTGTGCTGAGGACAGCACAGATCTTGGAAGATCTAGACATAACAGTCAACAAGTATTGACCGAATGTAGAAATGCAAGAAAAATTAAATTGGGTATAGGAAATTAATAAAACAGACAAGTGAGAAAAAAAAAGCTCAGGTGTGTTTTGCCAGAACTACTGAGATGATGGTGATATAATCATTACACAAATTTAACCAAGAGTTTGTAACATGCTATGGAACCTTGGAGGAAGTAGCAACTCCCTCTGCCTGAGGGAATCAAGGAGGATTCAGTACGGAGGAGGGCACATGTGGCCAAGGCAAGTGAAGGAGTGGGCACAAAGGTGATAAAGCAGAATGAGAAGACAGGTGATAGGAGTACAGGGTTTGTTGTCAGAAGTGGTCAAAGATAGCCTGGAGCAGAGCTGTATTTCCATGCAAAAGAGCTTTGTTTTAATTCTTTAACAAGTTGTTATTATTATTTACTATTTGCTTAACTGAATTAAACCTATTAATTTACTAAATGTCATTAGTAAAATCTCATAGTGAGGGAGAAATTCTCCAAATAGCTGTGTTAGCACATAATAGTCAACATTGCTACCTACTCCGCTACCCTATAACTCTAGTTGACAAGAAAGTAATTGACTTTTTTTTTTTTTTTTTATAAATTATACTTTAAGTTCTGGGATACACATGCAGAACGTGCATGTTTGTTACATAGGTAAATATGTGCCATGGTGGTTTGCTGCACCCATCAAGCTGTCATCTACATCAGGTATTTCTCCTAATGCTATCCCTCCTCTAGCCTCCCACCCACCAACAAGCCCCGATGTGTGATGTTCCCCTCCAGTTGTCCATGTGTTCTCATTGTTCAACCCCTACTTGTGGTTTTCTGTTCCTGTGTTAGTTTGCTGAGAATGATGGTGTCCAGCTTCATCCAAATCCCTGCAAAGGACATTAATTCATCATTTTTCATGGCTGCATAGTATTCCATCATGTGTATATGTGCCACATTTTCTTTATCCAGTGTATCATTGATGGGCATTTGGGTTGGTTCCAAGTGTTTGCTATTGTGAATGGTGGCGCAATAAACATATGTGTGCATGTGCCTTTATAGCAGAATGATTTCTAATCCTTTGGGTATATACCCAGTAGTGGGATTGCTGGGTCAAATGGTATTTCTGGTTCTAGATCCTTGAGGAATTACCACACTGTCTTCCACAGTGGTTGAACTAATTTACACTTCCATCAACGTGTAAAAGCGTTCCTATTTCTTCACATCCTCTCCAGCATCTGTTGTTTCCTGACTTTTTAATGATCGCCATTCTAACTGGTGTGAGATGGTATCTCATTGTGGTTTTGATTTGCATTTCTCTAATGACCAGTGATGATGAGCTTTTTTTCATATATGCCACGTATGTCTTCTTTTGCGAAGTGTCTGCTCATGTGCTTCACCCACTTTTTGATGGGGTTGTTTTTTTTCTTGTAAATTTGTTTAAGTCCTTTGTTGATTCTGGATATTAGTCCTTTGTCAGATGGATAGATTGCAAAAATTTTCTCCCATTCTTTAGGTTGCCTGTTCACTCAGATGATAGTTTCTTTTGCTGTGCAGAAGTTCTTTAGTTTAATTACATCCCATTTGTCAATCTTGGCTTTTGTTGCCATTGCTTTTGGTGTTTTAGTCATGAAGTCTTTGCCCATGCCTATGTCCTGAATGGTATTGCCTAGGTTTTCTTCTAGGGTTTTTATGGTTTTAGGTCTTATGTTTAAGTCTTTAATCCATCTTGAGTTAATTTTTGTATAAGGTGTAAGGAAGGGGTCCAGTTTCAGTTTTCTGCATATGGCTAGCCAGTTTTCCCAACACCATTTATTAAATAGGGAATCCTTTTCCCATTGCTTACTTGTGTCAGGTTTGTCAAAGATCAGATGGCTGTAGATGTGTGGCATTATTTCTGAGGCCTCTGTTCTGTTCCATTGATCTATATCTCTGTTTTGTTACCAGTACCATGCTATTTTGGTTACTGTAGCCTTTTAGTATAGTTTGAAGTCAGGTATTGTGATGCCTCCAGCTTTGTTCTTTTTGCTTAGGGTTGTCTTGGCTATGCGGGCTCTTTTTTGGTTCCATATGACATTTAAAGTAGTTTTTTCTGATGCTGTGAAGAAAGTCAGTGGTAGCTTAATGGGGATAGCATTGAATCTATAAATTACTTTGGGCAGTATGGCCATTCTCGTGATATTTATTCTTCCTATCCATGAGCATGGACTGTTTTTCCATTTGTTTGTGTCCTCTCTTATTTCCTTGAGCAGTGGTTTGTAGTTCTCCTTGAAGAGATCCTTCACATCCCTTGTAAGGTGTATTCCTAGGCATTTTATTTTCTTTGTAGCAATTGTGAATGGGAGTTCACTCATTATTTGGCTCTCTGTCTATTATTGTTGGGTAAGAATGTTTGTGAGGTTTGCCCATTGATTTTTTATCCTGAGACTTTGCTGAAGTGGCTTATCAGATAAGGAGATTTTGGGCTGAGATGATGGGGTTTCCTAAGTATACAATCATGTCATCTGCAAACGAGACAATTTAACTTCCTCTCTTCCTATTTGAATACACTTTATTTCTTTCTGTTGCCTGATTGCCCTGGCAAGAACTTCCAATACTATTTTGAATGGGAGTGATGAGAGAGGTCATCTTTGTCTTGTGCCAGTTTTCAAAGCAAATGCTTCCAGCTTTTGCCCATTCGGTATGATATTGGCTGTGGGTTTGTCATAAATAGCTCTTATTATTTTGAGATACATTCTATCAATACCTAGTTTGTTGAGAGTTTTTAGCAGCAGGAAGGGGTGTTGAATTGTATCAAAGGACTTTTCAGCATCTACTGAGATAATCATGTGGTTTTTGTCATTGGTTTTGTTTATGTGAAGGATTATGTTTATTGATTTGCTGTTGAACCAGCCTTGCATACCAGGGATGAAGCCAACTTGATCATGGTGGATAAGCTTTTTGATGTGCTGCTGGACTTGGTTTGCCAGTATTTTATTGAGGATTTTTGCCTCGGTGTTAATCAGGGATATTGGCCTGAGATTTTCTTTTCTTGTTGTGTCTCTGCCAGGTTTTGGTCTCAGGATGATGCTGGCCTCATAAAATGAGTTAGGGAGGAATCCCTCTTTTTCTACTGTTTGGAATAGTTTCAGATAGAATGGTACCAGCTCCTCTTTGCACATGAGGTAGAATTCAGCTGTGAATGTGTCTGGTCCTAGGCTTTTTTTTTGATTGGTAGGCTATTAATTACTGCCTCAATTTCAGAACTTGTTGTTGGTCTATTCAGGGATTCGACTTCTTCCTGGTTTCATCTTGGGGGTGTGTATGTATCCAGGGATTTATCCATTTCTTCTAGATTTCCTAGTTTATTTGCATAGAGGTGTTTATAGTATTCTCTGATGGTAGTTCATATTTCTGTGGGATCAGTTGTGATATCCCCTTTATCATTTTTTACTGTGTCTATTTGATTCTTCTCTCTTTTCTTCTTTATTAGTCTGGCTAGCAGTCTATCTATTCGTTAATCTTATCAAAAAACCAGCTCCTGGATTCATTGATATTTTGAAGGGTTTTTTTGTGTCTCTATCTCCTTCAGTTATGCTCTGATCTTAGTTATTTCTTGTCTTCTGCTAGCTTTTGAATTTGTTTGCTCTTAGTCCTCTAGTTCTTTTAACTGTGATGTTAGGGTGTTGATTTTAGATCTTTCCTGCTTTCTCCTATGGGCATTCAGTTGTATAAATTTCCATCTAAACCCTGCTTTAGCTGTGTCCCAGAGATTCTGGTACATTGTGTGTTTGTTCTCATTGGATTCAAAGAACTTATTTATTTCTTCCTTCATTTTGTTATTTACCCAGTAGTCATTCAGAAGCAGGTTGTTCAGTTTCCATGTAGTGGTGTAGTTTTGAGTGAGTTTCTTAATCCTGAGTTCTAATTTGATTACACTGTGGTCTGAGAGACTGTTTGTTATGATTTCTGTTCTTTTGCATTTGTTGAGGAGTGTTTTACTTCCAATTATGTGGTCACTTTTAGAATAAGTGTTATGAGGTGCTGAGAAGAATGTATATTCTGTTGATTTGGTGTGGAGAGTTCAGTAGATGTCTATTAGTGTGTCTGAAATTGGTGGGTTCTTGGTCTCACTGACTTCAAGAATGAAGCCATGGACCCTCGTGGTGAGTGTTACAGTTGTTAAAGATGGTGTGTCCGGAATTTTTTCCTACTGATGTTTGGACATGTTCGGAGTTTCTTCCTTCTGGTGGGTTCATGGTCTCACTGGCTTTAGGAGTGAAATTGCAGACCTTTTCAGTGAGTGTTACAGTTCTTAAGGTGGTGCATCTGGAGTTTTTCGTTCCTCCCGTCTGGAGTTGTTCATTCCTCTCGGTGGGTTCGTGGTCTTGCTGGCCTCAGGAGTGAAGCTGCAGCCCTCCGTGGTGGGTGTTACAGCTCATAAAGGTGGTGCAGACCCAAAGAGTGAGCAGCAGCAAGATTTATTGCAAAGAGCAAAAGAACAAAACTTCCACAGTGTGGAAGGGGACCCGAACGGGCTGCCACTGCTGGCTCGGGCAGCCTGCTTTTATTCCCTTATCTGATCCCACCCACATCCTGCTGATTGGTCCATTTTACAGAGAGCTGACTGGTCCGTTTTACAGAGAGCTGATTGGTCCGTTTTGACAGGGTACTGATTGGTGCATTTACAAACCTTGAGCCAGACACAGAGTGCTGATTGGTGCATTTACAATCCTTTAGCTAGACACAAAAGTTCTTCAAGTCCCCACTAGATTAGCTAGACACAGAGCACTGATTGGTGCATTTACAAACCTTGAGCTAGACACAGGGTGCTGATTGGTGTGTTTACAAACCTTGAGCTAGACACAGAGTGCTGATTGGCGCATTTACAATACTCCAGCTAGACATAAAAGTTCTCCACGTCCCCACTAGATAAGCTAGACACACAGCACTGATTGGTGTGTTTACCAACCTTGAGCTACACAGAGGGTGCTGATTGGTGCATTTACAATCCTTTCGCTAGACATACAAATTCTGCAAGTCCCCACCCAATTCAGGAGCCCAGCTGGCTTTGCCTAGTGGATCCCATGCCAGAGCCATGGGTGGAGCTGCTCACCAGTCCCGTGCCGTGCGCCCGCACTCCTCAGTCCTTGGGTGGTCGATGGGACTGGGCACCACAGAGCAGGGGGCAGTGTCAGTCGGGGAGGTTCGGGCCACGCGGAAGCCCACGGTGGGGGTTGGGGAGAGGCTCCGGCATGACCGGCTGCAGGTCCTGAGCCCAGCCCTGCGGAGAGGCAGCTAAGGCCCGGTGAGAATTCGAGCACGGTGCTGGCAGGCCAGCACTGCTGGGGGACCTGGCGCACCCTCTGCAGCTGCTGGCCCAGGTGCTAAGCCCCTCACAGCCCAGGTTGGCGGCGCTGGACAGCCGCTCCGACGGCAGGGCCCGCCAAGCCCGCGCCCACCTGGAACTCATGCTGGCCCGCAGACCCACGCACAGCTGGGGTTCCTGCCCGTGCCTCTCCCTCCACACCTCCCTGCAAACAGAGGGAGCCAGCTCCGGCCTTGGCCAGCCCAGAGAGGGGCTCCCACAGTACAACGGCAGGCTGAAGGGCTCCTCAAGTGCGGCCAGAGTGGATGCTGAGGCCGAGGTGGCACCAAGAATGAGCGAGGGCTGCTAGCATGTTGTCACCTCTCATTAGGTCTACTTGGTCCAGAGCTGAGTTCAAGTCCTGAGTATCCTTGTAAATTTTCTTTGTCATTGATCTGTCTGATGTTGACAGTGGGGTGTTAAAGTCCCCCACTGTTATTGTGTGAGACTCTAAGTCTTTTTGTAGTTTCTATGCACGACAGTAGGGTGTTAAAGTCTCCCACTGTTATTGTGTGGAAGTCTATGTCTCTTTGTAGTCTCTATGCACTTGCTTTATGAATCTTGGTGCTCCTGGGTGCACATATATTTAGGATAGTTAGCTCTTCTTTGAATTGATTCCTTTACCATTATGTAATTCCCTTCTTTGTTTTTTTGATCTTTGTTGATTTAAAGTCTGTTTTATCAGAGACTAGGATTGCAACTATTGCTTTTATTTGCTTTCCATTTGCTTGGTAAATATTCCTCCATCCCTTTATTTTGAACCTATGTGTGTCTTTGCAAGTGAGATGGTCTCTTGAATACAGCACACTGATGTGTCTTGACTCTTTATCCAATTTGTCAGTCTGTGTCTTTTAATTAGGGTATTTAGCCCGCTTACATTTAAGGTTAATATTATGTGTGAATTTGATCCTGTCATTATGATGCTAGCTGGTTATTTTGCCCATTAGTTGATGCAGTTTCTTCATAGTGTCAATGGTCTTTACAAGATGGTATGTTTTTGCAGTGGCTGGTACACTTTTTTCCTTTCCATATTTAGTGTTTCCTTCAGGAGCTCTTGTAAGGCAGGCCTGGTCATGACATAACGTCTCAGCATTTGCTTGTTTGTAAAGGATTTTATTTCTCCTTCACTTATGAATCTTAGTTTGGCTGGAGATGAAATTCTGTGTTGAAAATTCTTTTCTTTAAGAATGTTGAATATTGGACCTCACTCTCTTCTGGCTCGTACAGTTCCTACAGAGAGATCCACTGTTAGTCTGATGGGCTTCCCTTTGTGGGTAACCTGACCTTTCTCTCTGGCTGCCCTTAACATTTTTTCCTTCATTTCAACCTTTTTGAATCTGACAATTATGTGTCTTGAGGTTGCTATTCTTGAGGAGTATTTTTTTGGTGTTCTCTGTGTTTCCTGAATTTGAATGCAGGCCTATCTTCCTAGGTTGGGGAAGTTCTCTAGGATAAACACTCTGAAAAGTGTTTTCCAATATGGTTCCATTCTCCTAATCACTTTCAGGTTCACCAATCCAATGTAGGTTTGGTCTTTTCACATAGTCCCATATTTCTTGGAGGCTTTGTTCCTTCCTTTTCATCCTTTTTTCTCTAATCTTGTCTTCATGCTTTATTTCATTAAGTTGATCTTCAGTCTCTGATATCCTTTCTTCCCATTGATTGATTCAGCTATTGATAATTGTGTGTGCTTCGTGAAATTCTCATGCTGTGTTTTTCAGCTCCATCAGGTCATTTATTTGCTTCTCTATACTGGTTATTCTAGTTAGCAATTCCTCTAACCTTTTTACAAGGTTCTTAGCTTCCCTGCATCGGGTTAGAACATGCTTCTTTAGCTCAAAGGAGTTTGTTATTACCCACCTTCTAAAGCCTACGTCTGTCAATTTGTCAAACTAATTTTTCTTCCAGTTTTGTTTCCTTGTTGGTGAAGAGTTGTGATCCTTTGGAGGAGAAGAGGCGTTCTGGTTTTTGAAATTTTCGGCCTTTCTGTGCTGGTTTTTCATCATCTATGTAGATTTATCTACCTCAGTCTTTGGTCTTTGATGTTGGTGAGCTTCAGATGGGTTTTCTCTGTTGACGTCCTTTTTGTTGATGCTGATGCTGGTCCTTTTTATTTGTTAGTTTTCCTTCTAACTGTCATGGTCCTCTGCTGCAGGTCTGCTGGAGTTTGCCGAAGGTCCACTCCAGACCTCGTTTGCCTGGGTATCACCGCAGAAACTGCAAAACAGCAAAGACTGCTGCCTCTTCCTTCCTCTGGAAGCTTTGTCCCAGAGGGGCACCCACCAGATACCAGCTGAAGCTCTCCTGTATGAGGTGTCTGTCGACCCCTGCTGGGAGGTGTCTACCAGTCAGGAGGCACAGGGGTCAGGGACCCACTTGAGGAGGCAGTTTGTCCCTTAGGAGAGCTCGAGTGCTGTGCTTGGAGAGCCGCTGCTCTCTTCAGAGCCTGCAGGCAGGAACGTTTAAGTCTGCCGAAGCTGTGCCCACAGGTACCCCTTCCCCCAGGTGCTCTGTTCCAGGGAGATGGGAGTTTTACCTATAAGCCCCTGACTGGGACTGCTGCCTTTCTTTCAGAGATACCCTGCCCAGAGAGGAGGAATCTAGAGAGGCAGTCTGGCTACAGTGGTTCTGTGGAGCTGTGGTGGGCTCCACCCAGTCTGAACTTCCTGGAGGCTTTGTTTATATTGTGAGGGGAAAACTGCCTACTCAAGTCTCAGTAATGGTGGATGCCCCTCCCCAAGCTAAGCTTGAGAGTCCCAGGTCGACTTCAGACTCCTTTGCTGGCAGCGAGAATTTCAAGCCAGTGAATCTTAGCTTGCTGGGCTCCATGGGGGTGGGATCCACTGAGCTAGACCACTTGGCTCCCTCACTTCAGTCCCCTTTCCAGGGGAGTGAATGGTTGTGTCTTGCTGGCATTCCAGGTGCCACTGGGGTATGAAAAAAAAGTTCTGCAGGTATCTCGGTGTCTCCCCAAATGGCTGTCCAGTTTTGTGCTTGAAACCCAGGGCCCTGGTGATGTAGGGACTTGAGGGAATCCCCTGTTCTGCAGGTTGTGAAAACCATGGGAAAAGCGTAGTATCTGGGACAGAATGCACAGTTCCTCATGGCAAGGTCCTTCAAGGCTTCCCTTGGCTGGGGGGGAGTTTCCTGACTTTTTGTGCTTCTCCATTGAGGCAACGCCTTACCCTGCTATGGCTCACCCTCTGTGGGCTGTACCTACTTTCTAACCAGTCCCAGTGAGATGCGCTGAATACCTCAGTTGGAAATGCAGAAATCACCCGCCTTCTGCATTGATCTCTCTGGGAGCTACAGACCAGAGTTGTTCCTGTTTGGCTATCTTGCCAGCCTCTGTTGAAACGTTCCGACTTCTTCTTTTTTTTTTTTTTTTATTTTAAGGCATCATTGTGCATAGTTTTCATTGTAGAGTTATTGGTTTCTCAATCATTTGTGAACCTTATGATGTTGTCTCATTTGACATATGAATAGTAACACTTTTAACTACTTTGGTTTCTCTAAACCATTTTCTTCTACCTTCTTTCTAGAAGCAAATGTCATGACTCTGAAGACAGCTTTGCAGAATTACTGTACTGATACTCTTACCCTATTTCCAGTATTACTTATGCAAGAAATGAGCACACTGAACTTCTCAATCTCCATAGAATCTTTTGGCATTGGCCAAACATCTCACATTATGAATTTAGAAAGAAACAGGTGGGAACCTTTACTCAAAAAGTGCTCTTCCAGATTGATTTTTTGGGGTGTGTGAATGAACAGTTACTTTTGTTCAGGTAAAACTTCTCAAAGGGCCGCACGGTAGAGGATTCACCACGAGGCTGTTAAAAGTATTTTATGTTAGCCTGCCTCTAGAATAAAACTAATCAAATTGATTTACATTGCTCTACTAATTCAAAACTTGAATGTATTTGTTTTTGGGTGTTCTCCTCTCCTTAGTCATTTGTTCTTCAAGAAAAATAGAAAAAATGTCTAAATTTTAAATTATACCCAACATGTTATTTTGGATGGAGGTAAATGTAAAGTAAAAAGGCAGACCACATGAACTGCAGGGAATCCTTATGGTTGCAGGGTTTGTATCCCGTCTGGACATACCCTGGCTCCTTGGCAGGAGGCTTATGAGTACATGGACTCTGAAGGGGAAGGCCTCCTATAGTTGTGTGCACACCCTCCTAAGGAAGAATAAGAGGCTTTCACATGTGGTTTACATCTGCAAGTTAATTTTAACATCACTTCTTGAAACTTCAGGGCATCTTCACTAACCAATATTATTAAATAATCTGTTTCTAAATCTAATGTTCAATCCAGGACTTACACCTTTGAAAACACTGAGACATTTCTGCTACTGCAACTGCTTGATACTGCTATGTACCATCTAGCTTCTCAGTGTGACTGCTTCCTCATCCCTCCTCCAATTACCTACTCTCTTCTCTCTTCTCTGATGTTCCAGACCTTCAAGATGATCTCACTAATATTCACCCCATCTAGTCTTATTCTCTACAGCCACTAGTTCTTGTGATTCTTTGTCATGGACTGACTCCTCATGTAATCCATTCTTTCATCAGATAGCCTGATATAGAAATCCCATACATTCTGTAAGAAGAACTTGTTTAGATAAATTACTTTTGTTCAACAATGATAGTATTAGAAAGCCAGCAATTATGAAATGATTTAACCTGGAGTCCTTGAAATCATATGATTGTATTTAACTGGATGCTGAGAATATTCTGGGACATACCTCTTAATGACTAATTCTTCTTCTTGGATGAGGGATTTAAAATCACCCATTTGCTATAGCTCTGACTTTTAAAAAAGAAATTTTGTTACTTCCAAAGCTTCTAATTACTTCCAATTCTTATGAAAATTTAGTCTCACAGGAAACAAACATGGATATGCTTTTCTGATTGCAGATAATATAGGAGAAATAAGTTCTAAACTATACACCATGTGTGATAAAATGTTTTTCTCCTGATCTTAATCTTGCTTCATAATTAATTCACACACACACACACACAAACACACACATACACACAGATGGAGAAATATCTAGATATCTACTTTCATGACACACATATGGACACTTTTTTTTTCTTCTTAAACTGTTATTTTAAGTTCAGGGGTACCTGTGCAGGATGTGCAGATTTGTTACATAGGTAAATGTGTGCCATGGTGGTTTGCTGCACAGATCATCCCATCACCTAGGTATTAAGCCCAGAATCCATTAGCTATTCTTCCTGATGCTCTCCCTCCCCCTGCCCCACCCTACGATAGGACCCCGTGTGTGCTGTTTCCCCTAGTGGGTCCATGTGTTCTCATCATTCAGCTCTTGCTTATAAATGAGAACATGCGATGTTTGGTTTTCTGTTTCTGTATTAGTTTGCTGAGGATAATGGCTTCCAGCTTCATCCATGTCCCTGCAAAGACATGACCTCATTCCTTTTGGACACTTTTAAAGTAGCTTAGTTTAATTTTTTCTGTAATTTCTATATGAGATGTTCTATGGTTTTTCTGGACACTCAGACTTTGCAGACTTCTACTGAAATAAAAGATGTAATATTAATTCACCTTTATTTGGCAATATCTTCTTAGTAACCTGTCTTCTTCTATTGCTTTAGGTACAGTCATTGAAAATGGTTTATGCTAGTTTACATAGTTAAATGGTTTCAGAGTATGTAGACAAGCACTTATTCTCTGGGAATACGTGCAAATGCTCTATGCAAAGCAGCATTATTATCTAGTGTCAAAATTATGGCTTCATGAATTTTTAAGACTTTTAAACATCTTTTCACTATCCTATGTTTGTTCTCTTTTATTTTGTTCCATTAGTTTCCTCACAGCAATTATTAATAAACTCCTAGAAAGAGAATATGTGTTCTTAGAACATAGGAAGGAAAAACAGGCTTGGAAGACAGTCTCCCTCTTCCCAGCTAGTCTATGAATGGGACAAAAAGAACTCTGAAACTCTGACAGTGGATTTGGTGTGCATAGCTTTAAAAGGTGCAAAGAAGCAGGTTGGGTTCATAAGTGTGTCTTTTCACAGTGGCTGGACTAATTGACATTCCCACCACCAAGTGTCCCCTTTTCTCTGCAAACTCATCAGCATCTGTTATTTTTTCACTTTTTTTTTTTTGAGACGGAGTCTCACTCTGTTGCCCAGGCTGGAGTGCAGTGGCACGATCTTGGTTGCAACCTCCACCTCCCGGGTTCACGCCATTCTCCTGCCTCAGCCTCCCAAGTAGCTGGGACTACAGTCACCCGCCACCATGCCCAGCTAATTTCTTCTTTTTTTTTTTTTTTTTTTTTTTTTGTATTTTTAGTAGAGACTGGATTTCACCGTGTTGCCCAGGCTGGTCTTGAACTCCTGACATCAAGCGATCCACCCGCCTTGGCCTCCCAAAGTGCTGGGATTACAGGCATGAGCCACCGTGCCTGGCTTTTTATTTTGACTTTTTAATAGTAGCCATTCTGACTGGTATGAGATGGTATCTTCATTGTGGTTTTGATTTGCATTTTCCCAATGATTAATTATATTGAGCATTTTCTCGTATGCTTATTGACTGCATGTATGTCTTCTTTTGAGAAGTGTCTGATCATGTACTTTGCCCACTTTGGGTGTTGTTCATTTTTTGCTTGTTGATTTATTTACATTCCTTATAGATGCTGGATATTAGACCTTTGTCTGATGGATAGATTGCAAACATATTTTCCCATTCTGTCGGTTGTGTCTTCATGCTGATGAAAGTTTCTTTTGCTGTGCAGAAGCTGTTTAGTTTAATTAGGTCTCACTTGCCAATTTCTGGGTTTGTTGCAATTGCTTTTAGAGTCTTTGTCATGAAGTCTTTGCCAGAATGGTATTTCCTAGGATATGTATGCACGTCCAGAATGGTATTTCCTAGGCTTTCCTTTAGGGTTTTTATAGTTTTATATTTTACATTTCAGTCTTTAATTAATCTTGAGTTGATTTTTGTATATGGTGAAAGTTAGGGGTCACATTTCAGTCTGCTGCATATGGCTAGCCAGTTTTCTCAGCATCATTTATTGAATAGGGAGTCCTTTCCTCACTGCTTGTTATTGTTAGTTTATACACCATTTTTTTTTTCTGTGCATCAGGGAGACCCACAGGTAGCAAATCATGTTTGGATGCAAACATGAAACAGTACAAAACAAGAGTCTCCATGCAAATGGGAACTAAACATATACCCAGGCCAGTAGAGATGTCAATTTGCAGGTGTCAGATATTAGCAGACTCTTGAGCAGAATTTGGATAGAAAAGGATGAGGAAGGCAGCACCATTACAAACACATTTAAATCTTCTTAGCATACAAGGAAGGTCACTATTACAAGTTTAGAGGCACAAAGGATGAAATACAGTTTAAATCCCTAAATTTGGCTTATGATGGTTCACTTCTCAGAGTTAGGGAGAAGGTGCAGTTAATCTGTGAGGGTTATCAGAGAAGAACCAAAGTAGCTCTAGGTGGAACTGAAAGTGAATTTTAGATCTTTTCACATTCTCACACAAAGTGATATTTCTTAGTTGCAAAATCTTAAGTTTTCCTAGGACCTAAGAATGAATGTAAACTTGAAATTAGGGAAACATAATTTATCTTGATGAACATATGAGTCATTTCTTCAGACTTAATAGATGTTGGTTTTTTCTCATTACACCTATAAACCTCTAATTCCGTATAAGGTTTTCCACTATGGAGTGTCCTGTCCACATCCTCCCAGCTGTCTGCCTTCATTAGGCTGACTCAGAGGCAGGTCCTCCTCTGTTTTTCTCCTCTCTGCTCTCATGAAATTTTCTGCTTTATGGGACTTTTTAATGCTATTTGACCACTTTCTAAAGTATACTCGCTGAAGCTGTATATTAGTAGGTGCTATACAAAGAACATTTTTCATCAAATACACTTGGTGATTTGTAGGTTAATGATAGTTCCTTGCTGCATATTGTTTCAGAAACTTTAATTCGCTATTGTCATTGTGAATCTCTAAGATACAGTATTGACCATTTTCAACTCTCATTCTCAGGATGGGATCACATTTTGTGGGCAGGAGTAATATCTGAGACACTGGTGTTCTCTAGAACAAACATTAAATAATGTTCCATATTGCAAGCATCTTTTATTTCCTTTAGTAGTTCATATGAGTTATTTTGAAGATCAGGAGCATCTCTTACTCATTTTTCTTTTCCCCAAACTGAATACAAGTACTTAATTATAGAACAACTTCGTATTTTTTGATTGAATTATTGAAAATTAATTCACAGTGAAAGAGGATACCTGAGAGGAACTTTGGGGATGAAAACTATTAACACTTTAATTTGAAAAATAAATATTTATTTATACATATGGTATAGTTACCTTCACTTCACTTTCTTTCATTTATGGACTCAGTGAACATTCATTAAGCCCTTCATAAGTTCCATGTCTCTAGATCAACCCTGACCTTTAAAGATAAATAAGATAAAACATCTGTTTCTGAGGAATAGTTGCAAAGAAGAGCTTATTACTTTTCTAGAAAGGATATTTTCTTGTCAAAAATTAATAACAAACAAAAATTTCATTATTTGTTTAGAGTTTTTTTTTTTAGTTTGCAAAAACGAGTCTCTCAATCTCATATCTTTCATGAAGAGTAAGAAAGTTTTAAGTACATCAGTTTTCCTGTTGATCATTGTTATATCACTTTATCTTTCTGTGAAGTCAATTAAAATCAAAGGAAGACTTTTTCTCCATTGATCTGGTATGTACTGCTGATTCCACAGAAAGTATCTATGCTCTAAATCCTATGCTCTTATATGGAATAATTTATAAATTTATTTCAACTCCTATTCTCAATTATTAATAATAGAATCTGTATGGATGGGAATAGTCTTCAATTTTAAGTGCAGCAAATGATTACTTTATTCCAGTTTGTTATGTTTTAAACACATATATAAATGACTTGGTTGCATTTTAGATGAATTGGATCCATGCCCTTCTGCTAGGGAAAGCTGAAGAAAATAAGTTTGTTTTATAATGATTATATTATTTATGTGTTTATTTTACAAGTGTTTATTGAGTAATTAATATTACAAGGTACTGCAGAAAAATTCACAGTTAAAAAATATATAACTTTCAAGCACCTCACATTTTATTGAGAGATAGCAACCAGTAAAATAAAATGACATTACTTTAAAATACAAAGCAATAAAGGAGGTGTGGGCAGAGTGTGGTGAAAGCACAAAGGCGGAATAATGAGGAGTTTGTAAGGAAAAGAAGACTTCATGGAGTTGTTAGCATTTAGCATTTTTAAAGACATGAAAACTTGCTGTGTGGCCTATGCTGGTCTTGAACTCCTGGCCTCATGTAATCCTCTTGCCTCAGCCTTTAGAATTGTTGGGATTACAGATGTGAGCCACTATGCTAGTTTAGATTTTAAATTAAAAGTAGAAATTTTCAGTGACAACGAAGTATATGAAAAGGTGCTCAACATTATTGAGCATCAGAAAGATGCAAATTAAAACTACAATGAGATATCATCTTACCCTAGTTAAAGTGACTTTTATTCAAAAATACAGGCAATAACAAATGCTGGTGAGAATGTGGAGAGAACGGAACCCTTGTAAACTGTTGGTGGGAATGTAAATTAGCACAACCACTATGGAGATGGTTTCCTTTAAAAATAGAACTACCATGTGATCCAGCAATCCCACTGCAAGGCGTATGCACAAAGAAAGGAAATCAGTATATTGGAGAGGTAGTTGCACTCCCATGTATATTGCAGCAGTATTCACAATAGCTAAGAATTTTAACCAATCTCACTGTCCATCAACAAATACATGGATAAAGAAAATGTGGCAAATATACACAATGGAGTACTATTCAGCCATAAAAAAGAATGAGATCCTTTCATTTGCAAGAATATGTATGGAACTAGGGGTCATTATGTTAAGTGAACTAAGCCTGGAACAGAAACACAAACTTCACATGTTCTCTCTTTTTTTTTTTTTTTTCAGAGTCATAGTCTCACTCTGTCGCCCAGGCTGGAGTGCAGTGGTGCGATCTTGGCTCACTGCAAGTTCGGCCTCCTGGGTTGACACCATTCTCTTGCCTCAGCCTCTTGAGTAGCTGGGACTACAGGTGCCTGCCACCACTCCCAGCTAATTTTTTGTATTTTTAGTAGAGACGGGGTTTCATCGTGTTAGCCAGGATGGTCTCGATCTCCTGACCTCATGATCTGCCCGCCTCAGCCTCCCAGAGTGTTGGGATTACAGGCGTGAGCCACCGCGCCCTGCCCACATGTTCTCATTTATTTATGGGAGCTAAAAATTTAAAACAATTCAGCTCATGGATATAGAGAGTAGAATGATGATTATCAGAGCTGAGATGGGTAGGTGGGGGGAACCGGTGGGGCAAAGTGGGGATGATTAATGGATACAAAAAAAGAATGAATAATATCTAGTATTTGATGGCACATCAGGGTGACTACAGTCAACAATAATTTATTCTATATTTAAAAATAACTAAAAGAGTATATATAACTGGATTGTTTGTAACCCAAAGATAAATGCTTGAGGTGATGGATACCCCGTTTACCCTTATATGATTATTGTGTATCACATACCTGTATCAAAATATCTCATGTACCCCATAAATATATACACCTACTATGCACCCACAAAAATTTTTAATAAAAAGTAGAAATTTTCCTACAAAGGAAAGAAAAGGAAAGACATTTTAAATAGAGGGACTGGAATATGACCAAAGCCTGAGTTATATGGCACGGAAAACTGTACTATGAGATTGAATAGGCATGTCAAAAACTGATTGTGAAAACCCATATGTAGCATGATAATGCATTTTGGACAGAGTAAAAAGAAGTCAAAGGAGGATGATATGCAGGAAATTAACAAGATCATATTTATATTTAGAAAGATCTTCTGATTGTTGGGTTGCCGTATTGTTACCACAGTAAGAGATAGTATCTGAGATCTCAGTCAAGGCAATGAAAATGAAAAGGAAAGAATAAAAAATTTTGAGATAGGGCCTGAAGTTTGATTGAGTATGATGGTTGTGGAAAGGTAAGAATAAAAGAAAACTAGTGCATTTCTACTTTGGGCAAAGGTGATAACATTAACCCACATTGTAAATGCAGAAATGAGAAGAAGGAACAGAGATTTTTTTTCTTTGTGTATTCATTAATTGGTTTTGAAGGTGGGTGGAATGAATAAACCTGTTGTTGGTCAAGTGTATGAGATAACTAGAATGATCATGTAAATTAAAAGCAAAGCAACAAAGTGTGGAAAACTGATGGTTGGAGTTTAAGACATGTGCAAAGAATGTCTGAACTGAAACATGAATATTTGTGGAAATAGGAAAAAGAAGACAATAGTATTCCAGAAGCTGAAAAAAGGAGAAAGTTTCAAAGATAACAAGAAGATGTAGTAGCAGATGTTAGTGTGAAGTCTGAAAATACGTCATTGCAGTTTTTAGTCAAGTGATCATTGGGGATATTTGCAGGGCAATTTCAGTGAACTGGAGGAAATGAAAGATAAAATGGGATGGGGCATAAATGGAATTGAGAAGGTAGATACACTGAAGTAGCCTACTTCTTCAAGAGGGGTTTTAGTAAATAAAAGGGAAAGAAGGAAGAAAATTGAAGGAGTTATTGGGGCATGGGGAGAGCTTGTTTTTTTCCCTCATATAGTGGAAAATTAAGTTTGTTTCTGGGCACAGAAAAAGGACCTGGAAAGAATTCAAAATCAAATCAATCTGTTGGCTTATCAGAGTTAGAAAGAAGAGCTCAACATCTCCTAAAAGTTGCTTTTTACAGCTCTCTTCTAGTATTCAAATGGAAAATAATACATAAACCTATTCAGCATGTTAATATTTTCAGCAGTGTGGATAAATATTCTGCTGTGCTCAGATTTGGAATAGTAAGCAGATGTTCATCAGGAAGAAAATATAAGCCCATTCATTGGTCTGGACTACAAGGGAAGGACCAGAGGAACCTGGAAACTATGGAAACTGAGGTGTGACTGAACTTATTTCAGAGGGACAAATAACTTCACTGTAGGGTGAGGAAGGATGTAGAGACTAGAATTGCAAAGCAAAACTGACAAGAATAAACTGGTTTACATATATATTTATAAAATAGTAGACTACTCTTTAATATGATTGACATCTAAACGTATTTTAATCAATAGCACAAGATATCTGCCCTTTTAATAGATAGTTGAATCTTCAATTACCTGTTACTCAGCTCTTGTTGAAAGTGGATTTGATACAGTAGATATTTGAGAGAGAGAGCATTAAAACAGGGTTCTCAACTGATGCTGATTTTGCCCCACTAGGGGAAATTTGGCAATGTCTGGAGACAGTTTCAGTTGTCATACCTTGAGTTGGAGGCTGCTCCCAGTATCAAGTTGATAAGAGGATAGGGATACTGCTAAATATACACAGGACAGCCTCTTTCACCCTGCTCCAAACAATGAATTATTAGGCCCCAAATGTCAATAGTACTGAAATTGATCATAGTTATTGTTCTTCTAGGTTCTCTAACTTCTTTCTTGTATCAAGTTAGATTATGATAAAGTACCTACTCTAAGTAAGCTTAGCCATTAATGAATTTTTAAAAATTAGTGTACTTTTTTTTAGGTTTACAGAAAGATAGAGTGGAAAGTACAGAGATTTCCCATATGTCTCCTCAATTCCCTGTACCTCTCACCCCCAACTAATTTCCCCTACCCTCAACATTTGGTATTACTGTGGTCTATTTGTTACAATTGATGAACCACAAACAATACACTATCATTAACTAAAGTCCATAGTTTACATTATAGTTCACTGTTTGTGGCGTACATTGTATTGGTTTTGACAAATGTATAATGACTTGTATTCACTATTACAGTATCATACACAATAGTTTCACTGGCCTAAAAATCCCCTGTGCTCCACCTATTTATTCTTCCTCGCTCCCACTCCCACTCCCCTCGTGAAACCCTGATCTTTTGTTTCCATAGTTTTGCTTTTCCCTGAAGTCATGTAGTTGAAACTTTAAACCATGTAGCTTTTTAAGATGGGCTTCCTTCACTTTGTACTATACATGTAAGGTTCCTTGGTGTCTTTTTGTGACTTGATAGCTAATTTATTTTTATTTATAAACAGTATTCCTTTATATGAATGCACTACAGTTTATTCATTCACACAGGTGTATTGAAGGACATTTTGGTTCCTCTAAGTCTTGGCAATGATAAATAAAGCTGTTACAAACATTTGTGTTCATGCTCTTGTGTGGAAGTTCTCAGCTTATTTGGGTAAATATCAAAGAACGTGATTGCTAGATCATATGGTAACAGTATGTTTAGTTTTTTAAGAAACTACCAAACTGTTTTCCAAAGTGGCCATACCATTTTGCATTCCCACCAGCAATGAATGAGAGTTCCTATTGCTTTCCATCCTCATCAGCATTTGGCGATATCAGTGTTTTGAATTTTAACCATTCTAACAGATGTGTAGTGGTATCACATTATTGTTTTAATTTGCAGTTTCCTGGTGTCATATGATGTTGAGTATCTTTTCAAATGCTTATTTCCTTTCCTATCCTACCTTATGTCCTATATCTTCTTCGGTGAGGTGTCTATTCAGATCTTTTCCTATTTTAAAAACCAGGTTGTTCATTTCCTTATTGTTCGGTTTTAATAGTTCTTTGTATATTTTAGATCCTAGGTTTTTTTTTAATTAGTTTGTATTTTGGAAATATTTTCTCTTCAGTGTGTGGCTTGTTTTTTCATTCTTTTAACCAAAGTTTGTAATTTTAATGAAGTCAGACTTTTTTTTCTTTCATGGGCAGAGCAGAAGTTCATAATTTTTTTCTTCCATGGGTAGAGCAGTAGTTTGTAATTTTAATGAAGTCAAACATTTTTTTTCTTTCATGGGTTGTGCTTTTGGTTTTTACCTAAGAAGTCATTGCCAAACCTGAGGTTTTTAATCTAGTGGATTTTGTTGTCTTTTGTCAAAAGCCAATACATAGAATTACCATCTGAAGTATGTTTCTTCAACTTCTGCAAGCCAGGTGTTGAAACAATGTCTTAAAATTTTATTCATTTTTAAAAATAAGAAATCACCCTGTAGATTCCTGTTATAATTTAATTCTGGGGAAATATTTGCTTCTCAGGTGTCTGTTTAGGCTTTCCTTTATTTATCAATATAATTTAGGTTATCTGTTACTGAGAAATTCTAAATCTATAACTTTTTGTTTTGACTTCCCAATGACAGTAATTATTTCATTCTTATTTTCATATACAACCTTTTCTTCATTTCTCTATAGTTACTCTTGGTTTCTTTTTTTTCACTGTTTTAATGTAGCCATCTATAAGAAATGTTTTTAAGTTATTTAAATTATTTCTGAAAGGATCGGAGCATAATATTACTTATACATAAATAGAATAGTATTAATAGCATAGCATCCCCAAATATAACACTTACTATTTTTCTCTAACTATATGGTACCCTGGAAATGACTGCATAAATCAGGTTAATTGTTTTAACCAGAATACCCAATTTTAGGTCAGAAAAAATGGTCGAACAATAGATTTTAAAACAGTGTAGCTCTATTTTAATCAATAGCTTATTGCAACTGCCTGACTGGAGACCTAGGTCATATTTGCCTGTCAGAATGTATGATAGATGAGTGCTGTTGTGATGGATCTGAAGCCGGGAAATCTTACCCTGTGATGAAGGGATTTGAGACTCCTTTTGAGGACTCACTAAAGGAAGCAATTTATGTTATTTGTCTGTTGTATACGCTACAAAGAGAAAGTATTCTCTAAGAGCTTCAAAATATGTATGTTTTTGGTTAAATATACTTATTTCTTTCCCTTGCTCGGACAGCTCTGAATGGGGAAGATAGTGACAGAGAGAAAATAAGTAAGGAATTTTAACCAATATCCTAAGTTCTACAATAGGGCTAAGCAAGGGTGCTAGCACACCTTTTGCTAGAAGCTTGAGATGTAAGAAAAGGTCTATGAAAAGATCTAATTCCTATACAGAACTAACAATCTGCTAAGGAGATGGAAAATTATAATAAAATGTGAAGATTACTATTATGTAAGAAAAAGAGAGAAGAGGAAATGCTGGAAACCATAAAATAAAAGAGTACATGCGATTTCATAACAATGTGCTGAAAAAGAAGCATCAAGGCTTTAGGTTAAAGGCAAAAGAAAATTTCCTGAGAGTGAAAGCTGTTAACATTTCACGTGCATGGAGGGAATTTGTTAAAGCATCCTGGCTGCAAAGTCTTCTAAAATCAGAAGGATTGTCACATGTCTGAGAGGATAAGTGTGGACCTGCCTGCAAGCTGAGGGATGGATTGCATGACCTCTTAAGAGCCCTGCAGGGCCAAGAGTCTCTGATTCTATTAGAGAATTTAAAAGTGGAAGATTCATCTTGTGTATTAGAAGTTACATTAAAAATGTTAAATCTGCCACCGAGCGATAATCAGTGAAATATTTCATGCTCTGTGAGGCAAGAGCAACCTTGAGGCTCTTTGTGAGCCTGAAGACATGGAATGATACCTTACTCAAGAGTCGGATGCACAGCTCCGGGGTCGTTCAGACTAGTTAGAGAGATAATAGTTTCTGCCTCGGAAGCTGAAAATTTGACATTCAAATGGCAATTTGCTATTTGTGCTGTTCTGGGTCATTCATCAACATCAGTGGCATTGATATTTCTGCATAATAGCCTTGCATGATATAGCATCACTGTGTCTTCCATGATGATTTTTTTGTTTGGATCGTAGCTCATGAGTTCCACATTGTTTGATCTGGAGGCTAACTTAATAACGTACTGGATATGTGGCCTTTCACTTGTTTAGGTGTTTCTGCCCTGGACAGTATGAATACTTACATAGCAAAAAAGGTGTTAAAGTACTTTCATATAATGTCACCCCATTATTGGATATATGGGGCAGGGATATTTACCAGGGGCAAGGCAGGAACTTGGACAGTCAAGAAAGGCCTGCCAGGAGCTCCATTAGAAGAACCAGAAGTTATATCCTGAAGAATGATCAGGACTGGAATGTGGTGGCCACTACAGGCTCACATAGATAGGTTTATTCTGAGGAAACCAGTCAAGGCAGGAGAGGTTGTAGGCAGGTAGTAGAGTAGTTGTCTGGGAGAGTTCAGGCACAGGAAGGTAGCTGCCAGGGGATAAGTCACAGAACAGCAAACTTTGAGGCAGGAAAAAGGGCCACTTTCTCTCTCCTTGGCTGAGGCAGCCCAGAGTTTAAACTTAGTGATAGGCCGTTGGGGGCCAGAGCCTACAGGTAATTGAGGGAATATATGCTCTCAGGGTCAGGCTGTGATAATAAGAGTGACCACTGGGAGCAGCAAACTTGGGCAAAAAGCCAGCTCTGTTGTTTGCTACCTATGTGTCCTCAGCCAAATAAATTGACCTCTTAGACTTACAGTTTTCACATCTGCAAAGTAGGGAGAATACAACTCGCTTCATTTGGTTGCTATGATAAAACAAAAGTATAGCGCATATCATATTGTAAGTGCTCAATGAGTGGTAACTGTACATATACACACAGACACATACACACACGTTTAATAACATAGTACATCAGTAAAAGCATAAAATGTAAAGTCAATGAGTTATAGTTTGAGACCAATGTATGGCATATCTTGCCCTGGCAGGTTACTTTAGAATCTGAATTTCAGCTCTGTTTTATGTTAGAATAAGATAATAATTTAAATTGCAGAGTTGGCATAAGGATTGGGCCAATATGAGTAAAGGGACTGGTGTAGTGGCTGATAAGTAGTAGGTGTTCAATAAAATACACTGTTGCTTCTGATGTTATTGTTATTATTGTTAAGTGACCGTGAGAGGAACTGTTAGACTCTGTCCATTGGAATCATGGAGTTGACTGAGTGCCAGAGTTACCATTTTTGAATATGCAGTGTTGTAGCAAAGCAATGCTAAACTGCAGGCCTGATGAATTTGCTCGGAAAGAGTTTGTCCTGTGAGGCCACAGAAGCTTCATTTGTGTTATCACCACTTAGGAAAAGCAGGACACTTATGCCCAAAGTGTCTTTATAGCAAAGCCCCCTCATAGCGTGCAACTATGGCAAACCGCCAAATTGCAGTGGTCTTTCTAGGCTTCTCCTAAGAGTTTTAATTAAAATGTTTTTTCTGGTGATATATATATATATATATATATATATATATATATATTTTCTAGTGACATATACATATATACATATTTATATATATGTAGCATGCTTGATAAAAAGTATAAAGAAATAATACATAATCTCCAGTCATATCACACCAACAAAAAATTATCACCATTTAGATGCATGTATCCTTACAATTTTTCTAATCATATATGCCAGAAATATCATAAAGTTCTATATTCTACATGAATTTTCAACTTCTAATAAATCATGAATATTTTCCATGTTAATAAATAATCTTTTATAATTTTTAATAATTGTACAATATTTCATTGTATGCTTATAATAGAATTTAAATTCTTCATGTTAGAATATTAGTATTTTCTAATTCACAATTTTCACTTGTAGATGTATCCTTTTTGCAAATCTCTCATCAGTACTGTAAAATACAGAATTATTCTGAGGTGAAATTCTATTTAATCATGTTCAGATAATCACTAGTAAAATATTTTTATTCTATTCACACACACGCACACTCACACACTGAAAAATATTGTAAGAAATGAGCTTAGAAAAGCTCTGTAAGCAGAATGCCATTTGTTTGATGGTCCCTGAATTCCATGCTGGGTGAGCAAAATTCCCTTGGATCACCTTGCACTGCAGAAACCAGAACACATCACAATGTCACAATTTGGTGAATATAGCACATTCAAATCCTAAAAAAGTAGATTCGTTCCAGCACAGTGTTTTCATTATTGTTCTCCAGTTGGAATAGACTGCATGGTAGATCTTGCCCGCTGAAAAACAACAAACTCAGAAGTTGTGATTAGGGGCAGGCCATCCCCTGAGTTATTCATGGTTGCCTTTGGCCAAAGAATCAGAGGTTTCCCCTACAAAGATTAGATACCCAGAATCCCTGTTTTTTAGAAACTTCTTTATCAGATTATTATTGCTGCTGTCACAAATTACCACAAGCTTAGTGTCTAAAAATGATCCATATTTATTTGATTTTTTTATTTTTTAATTTTTTTTAGTATTTATTGATCATTCTTGGGTGTTTCTCGGAGAGGGGGATTTGGCAGGGTCAGAGGACAATAGTGGAGGGAAGGTCAGCAGATAAACAAGTGAACAAGGGTCTCTGGTTTTCCTAGGCAGAGGGCCCTGCCGCCTTCCGCCGTGTTTGTGTCCCTGGGTACCTGAGATTAGGGAGTGGTGATGACTCTTAAGGAGCATGCTGCCTTCAAACATCTGTTTAACAAAGCACATCTTGCACCGCCCTTAATCCATTTAACCCTGAGTGGACACAGCACATGTTTCAGAGAGCACGGGGTTGGGGGTAAGGTTATAGATTAACAGCATCCCAAGGCAGAAGAATTTTTCTTAGTACAGAACAAAATGGAGTCTCCTATGTCTACTTCTTTCTACACAGACACAGCAACAATCTGGTTTCTCTATCTTTTCCCCACATTTCCCCCTTTTCTATTCGACAAAACTGCCATCGTCATCATGGCCCGTTCTCAATGAGCTGTTGGGTACACCTCCCAGACAGGGTGGCGGCCGGACAGAGGGGCTCCTCACTTCCCAGAAGGGGCGGCTGGGCAGAGGCGCCCCCCACCTCCCAGACGGGGCGGCTGGCCGGGCGGGGGCTGCCCCCCACCTCCCTCCCGGACAGGGCGGCATGATCCATATTTATTATCTTACATTTCTGGAGACCAGAAAACCAAAATCTGTCTCACTAGGCTAAAGCCAAGGTGTCAGCCTGGCTGGTTCTTTCTGGTGGCCCTGGGGAGAATCCATTTTTCACCTTTGCCGTTTCTAGAAGTGGCCTGCATTCTTGGTCGTAGCCCTTTCTGCATTTTCAAAGCCAGCAGCATGGCATCATCACATCTTTTTCCTCTGACACTCCTCTTTCCTTTTTACCAGGACTCTTATGGTTACACTGAGCCTAGCTGAATAATCCAGGATACTCACAAGATCCTGTCCTTAGCCATATTGGCAAAGTTTCTTAACATATTCCCAGGTTCTGGGGATTTGAACCTGGACATTGTTGAGGGGCCAGTACTCTGACTAGCACACCTCTTCTCCTTTGTACCCATTTCGTGAACACATGCTCAATGGACATTTAAATTTTTCCAGTAAGGTGAGAACATCTTTAATTAAAGAGCAAATAGGAATTATGTCATTAAAGCACAGTTTAAACTGAGAGTCATTTTACCCTCTATGATACTTCTTAAGTAAAAGAGAACATGTTCTCATAGCTCTCCTGTCCTCTTAGGAATGAAGGTGCTTTCTGTCTGAGCCTGAAGTATATCCTTTGACTGTAGGCCAAAGTGATTTTTTTGCATGCAAATGAACCCCAACTCAGTAGCTTCTTTGTCATCTGAACACAGTAATTTCCAATCTTTGGGTTCCTCCCCTCTCACAGCTCCTGTGTTTGTGGACACTCAGATGTCAACATCTCCTCTGCTTTAAGTTGCTGCTTCTTTTAAAACCCTGTCAACATTCTGTGGCACAGCAGCTATATTAATTAACTGGTTTCTTCTTGTTTCTTAACCCGAAATTGTCTCTAAAATCTTCTAGCATGCCCAGAATGACCACAGCTTTTCTACATTGCTGAGGATTTTGCTAGTCTGAGGTTTATTCATAGGTTTTGATGTGGTTTTTGGTGAGAGCATTTCCAAGAAGTCTCCCAAATGTTATAATGGCCACTATTGACAGAACACCTGCTCTGGGACAAGCAGTTTACATGGCTGTTAGGTGATGGAATTCTCGTCATCTCACTGCAGGAGCAATATCATTTTACATTGATATCATTCTATGAATCAGTCAACTGAGGCCCAGAGAGATTAAAATGAGCTTGAAAGTCTTGAAGATCACACAGACTGTGTTAGGAGTGGGCTCGCTGTGATTCTGAACTCCATGCTGTCTTCACTAAACCACAACTCTTCTGTTGTCCACACAGATGTTTGTCCCCTCCAAACCCTCATTTTACTTCTAGGCTGTACCACATTTTGGCCCTTTTGAGAGGTGACAGCGTGCTGGCAGTCCTCAGAGCCCTCGCTTGCTCTCAGCACCTCCCCTGCCTGGGCTCCCACTTTGGTGGCATTTGAGGAGCCCTTCAGTCCTCCACTGCACTGTGGGAGCCCCTTTCTGGGCTGGCCAAGGCCGGAGCCCACTCCCTCAGCTTGCAGGGAGGTGTGGAGGGAGAGGCATGAGCGGGAACCGGGGCTGTGTGCGGCACTTGCGGGCCAGCTGGAGTTCCGGGTGGGCATGGGCTTGGTGGGCCCCGCACTCGGAGCAGCCAGCCAGCCCTGCTGGCCCCGGGGAATGGGGGACTTAGCACCCGGGCCAGTGGCTGCGGAGGGTGTACTGAGTCCCCCAGCAGTGCCGGCCCACCGGCGCTGTGCTCGATTTCTCGACGGGCCTTAGCTGCCTTCCCGCGGAGCAGGGCTTGGGACCTGCAGCCCGCCATGCCTGAGCCTCCCACCCACTCCATGGGCTCCTGTGCGGCTCGAGCCTCCCCGACGAGTGCCACCCCCTGCTCCACGGTGCCCAGTCCCATCGACCACCCAAGGGCTGAGGAATGCGAGCGCACGGCGCAGGACTGGCAGGGAGCTCCACCTGCAACCCGGGTGCAGGATCCACTAGGTGAAGCCAGCTGGGCTCCTGAGTCTGGTGGGGACGTGGAGAGTCTTTATATCTAGCTCAGGGATTGTAAATACACCAATCAGCACCCTGTGTTTAGCTCAAGGTTTGTGAGTGCACCAGTCGACACTCTATCTAGCTGCTCTGGTGAGGACGTGGAGAACCTTTATGTCTAGCTCAAGGATTGTAAATACACCAATCGGCACTCTGTATCTAGCTCAAGGTTTGTAAACACACCAATCAGCACCCTGTGTTTAGCTCAAGGTTTGTGAGTGCACCAATCGACACTCTGTATCTAGCTGCTCTGGTGAGGACGTGGAGAGTCTTTATGTCTAGCTCAGGGATTGTAAATACACCAACTGGCACTCTGTATCTAGCTCAAGGTTTGTAAATACACCAATCAGCACCCTGTGTTTAGCTCAAGGTTTGTGAATGCACCAATCGACACTCTGTATCTAGCTGCTCTGGTGAGGACGTGGAGAGTCTTTATGTCTAGCTCAGGGATTGTAAATACACCAATCAGCACCCTGTGTTTAGCTCAAGGTTTGTGAGTGCACCAATCGACACTCTGTATCTAGCTGCTCTGGTGGGGCCTTGGAGAACCTGTGTGTGGAAACTCTGTATCTAACTAATCTGATGGGGACGTGGAGAACCTTTGTATTTAGCTCCGGGATTGTAAATGCACCAATCAGCGCCCTGACAAAACAGGCCACTGGGCTCTACCCATCAGCAGGATGTGGGTGGGGCCAGATAAGAGAATAAAAGCAGGCTGCCCGAGCCAGCATTGGCAACCCGCTCGGGTCCCCTTCCACACTGTGGAAGCTTTGTTCTTTTGCTCTTTGCAATAAATCTTGCTACTGCTCACTCTTTGGGTCCACGCTGCTTTTATGAGCTGTAACACTCACCGCGAAGATCTGCAGCTTCACTCCTGAGCCCAGCAAGACCACGAGCCCAAAGGGAGGAACGACCAACTCCAGACGCCCTGCCTTAAGAGCTGTAACACTCACTGCGAAGGTCTGCAGCTTCACTCCTGAGCCAGCGAGACCATGAACCCACCAGAAGGAAGAAACTCCGAACACATCTGAACATCAGAAGGGACAGACTCCAGACACGCCACCTTAAGAGCTGTAACACTCACCGCGAGGGTCCACGGCTTCATTCTTGAAGTCAGTAAGACCAAGAACCCACCAATTCCGGACACACTTTGATCTCAGATGTGCATATTATCTGTTCACTTTTCATTCTGTGTTAAACTGTAAGTCTGTGGTGGTCAGGAGCCTGTTTTATGCTTCTTTTGTACAGACTGTACTAGATGCTGTACTATAAAGACTATGTACTCCATAAATACTGAGTGGTTATTAAAACTGTAACTTCTGATAAAACTCCAATACTCTAAGAAATAAGCATTTTCCTGCTCTTGGATATACTATGGAGATATTTCAACATACATTAAAACTTCCAGGACAAATTTATGCCAGCCCTCTCTTCCCTTTATGTGTTGGCTGTATAGCCAAACCACACAGAGTAAACATTATCTTACTCAAACTTCACTTGGCTGCTGTGAGTGAGCAGATGTAGAAATTCGTTATGAACTGTCAATGCTCTCACAGTGCACTCCATAAAGGCTAGTGCTCAAGATAATAACAATGTTTTATTATTAAAGAAGTTTGGGGTGAGTTAATTTTAAGAAACAACAGGGAAGTGCAAAAAGGCTGCATTACAAGCAAGGATTTTGGATAAGTCTCTCTTATTTCCCAAGAGATTTAAAGCAAGGCATTTAGTCTTTCTAATTTCAGAGTGCTCATTTATAACACAGATATTCTCTCTTTATTAAGGAGGTAAAAATAAGAATACCTGAAGCTACATATAGGCTTCTTAGTAGAAAAGTGTTATAAATTTCAAAGTCTTATTATCATTATTAAAGTGATACCCAAAACTGCCATAATATGAGGAAAATGTTAAACTTGATCTTATTTCTGGGAATGCTACATTAAATCTTCCTAGAATTTGCAGGGAGCAGTTTAGGGAAGCTGATGGATAAGATGTAAAAGGAATGAACTGGACCCTCAGCCCAGACCTCCATCAACCCCATGAGGTGTCTGCACCACAAATAGAGCTGTCACTAACAGGGTCCTACCATTAAATCTTTACAACCTGCAAATTTATAGCTCTGTCAGTGAGGCGCAGCCTTAGCCACATACACCAATGGAATATGGAAGAAAAATAATTGGTACTGTTGTCAGTAGTTGGCAGAAAATGTGAACTTGGCAAACAGTTCTTTCTTAGGGTGACTAGGAAAGGCCTGCAGACTTGCTTCTATCTGCTGGTTTACTGTCAAATTGAAAATTCTAGCATAAAGTATCTTATATGGATGTGCAATGGTCATTTCAGAGCTTGAGTCTAGGTTGGTTGGCTTTAAAATCTACATCAGATTTTATAGTTCTTTTTGCAATTTTGAGCTGAATATTTGAGAAAGCTAGTAAAATGATGCAAATATGTGCTTCCTGGTTTCTTCCACGACTTACATTGTTCCTATGCTTACACACATATGCAAATTTAACAGTTTCAGTGAAAACAAACATGTAAACAAATATTCCTGGGTTGTCAGCTTGCCAGACAGAGTTTTAAAATCCTTTGGGTTCTGGTTATAAAGAAGTTGTGGACTTGAATTTTGGGATCTTACCTTTGATTGTTTCTATTCTAAGATTAGGCAAACTCCCAGCTGTCTCAGCAAATTGACTGTTATCAGAGTAATTGACAGACATTTTTAAGACTTGTTTTCTCTTTATAATTTTCAAATTGCTTAAGTTTCTTAGTGGTAGCAGGTTGGATAAACTGGGTACATGAGATTTCTTACTAGGAAAAGTATTAGGTAGGGTTTGATAAAAGAGCAAAACCTCTTTGAGTGATATAGAAAAGAATTTATCATAGGGAGTAGACATTAAGCAATTGTGTGAGTAGGTAAAGAATTTCATGAAAGGAAGGCTATTGTCTCTGCATGTGATGTGGCCTAAAGTGGCTGTGGGCCTGCAGGGCTGATGGTCAGATGGAAAAGCTGAGTGTGAAGATGAGGAGGGCAAGGACATGCTGGATGCCCATGAGGAGGGTAAAGACAGACTTGAAACTTAGTGATACAGGTGACCACTAAGAAAAGCTGCCATCCTTCACCAGATACATAGAACTTGGAGAAGTCGATGAGGTCTGGCAGGAGCTGGAGGAGCTGCCCCACGCCATCTGGGTGAACTATCAGATCATAACAATGTGGAGGTGTTGCAGTGGGACCTCACACCCTCCACAAACTGCAGAACATAATGGCTATTGCTCTCCTCCTCACATTTCTCTTGTTACCAAGCTACCACACAAGGAGTGAGATTCGAGGTAATATAGCTCCAGCTTATCTCAGTTGACACAGTCAAAACCACCACAGGGAATTTCCAAGATATCATGGACTGATGACTAAGATCATCAAATAGTCAGAATGCGTTGCATGCTAGACACCATATTAGGTCTCTCAGAGAGAGCAGTGAACAAACAGACCTGATCTCTGCCATTAGGGAACTGACAGTCTTGTGGAGGAGACAGATAATGCATGAACCATAAGCAAAAACACCAAATGTTATGTGCACCAAGGGAACTAAAAGAGTGCTGTGATAGAGAATAATAGAGGGGTGATTATTCTGGAGGATAAATTAGGTGGGGCAAGAGTCAAAATTTGGGGAACAGAAAGGAGGCTATTGCTGGGACTATGTCAGAAAAGGTGGTGACTTGGATTAAATCAGTGTCATTGAAAATAGGATGAAGTGGAAAGCTCTGTGTATATTTCAGAAGAAGAAACAACAGCATTTTCTATTGGATGCGGAAGGCAAGGGGAATAAAAATTCAAGGACGATCTCCAGGTCTTTGGCCTGAGGTTATTATGTGGGAAGTTCAGAAGAAGATTGGTTTGGAGAGGTGGAATTAAGCTTTAAGTTTTGTACATGATAGTTTAAAGACATTTAAGTGGAAATGTGATATATGATTGTCTATAAATTCTGAAGCTCAGAGATAAAAATTTGGGAGTTAACCTTACCGAGGTAGAATTTAAGGCCCTGGTAGTAAATATGATTGTGTAGGAAGGCAGACATAGAAAAATAGAGGATCCTGCATAGAGCTCCAAGTAACTCTGCTTTTTAGAGAATGAACAAACAAGGAGGATCCAGTGTGTAAAAAAAAAAAAAAAAAAAAAGAGAGGATTAGTGAAGTAGAAAGAAAATAAGTAGAGTGTAGTGTTATAAAAAAAAAAAAGGGTGAGTTAGACCAGAGGTAAGTTTCCAACCATTTCGAACTGAAGAATTTTTTATACTCCTGGAAATTATGGAAATACTAAGAAGCTTTTGTTTATATGGGTTATATCTAATCAACATTTATCATATGAGAAATTAAAAGTGATAAAAATTTAAAATATGTATTTATTAATTTAAAAATAGCAAAAATTTTATATCAACATAAAGACATACTTTTATAAAATTAACTTTATTCATCAACACAAAATATTGAAAATAGTGACATTGTTTTATATTTTTGCAAATCTCCTTAATTTCTGACTTAATAGAAGACATCCAGATTCTCATGTCTTTCTGCATTCAATCTGGTGTGCTCCATTGTTTTTGGTTGAAACATAAGAAGAAAATCTGGCAAGCCTCTTTGAAAATAAGGTTAGAAAAGGGAGTAGTATTTTAATAGACTTTTAAGATAATTGTGGATATTCTTTTATACTGTACCCAAACTTGGTAAGTGACAATTCCTTAACAATTAATTGCAATATGGTATCTGAAACCATAGCCATAAGCTTTTAATACTCAAATACTAAAAATAGACTTTATTTCATGAACCCATAGAAAGGTTATGGGTACCTCAGGGACTCCTGGACCACATTTTGAGACTAGCTGCTTAGACAATGATAGAAAAATATTCACTGGATTTGGCAACTTGGTGGCTATTTGGTGACTTTGGTAAGAGCAGTATTGATGAAATGATAGAGACAAAATAAAGACTGGAATGAATGAAATGAGGTAAGGAAGTATAGATTTCATTAGAGATTATTCTCCACAGACATTTATTTGTTAAAAGAAACAGAGTATTAGGACATTAGCTCAAAAAGAGATGTGACTAAAAATTTTTGCTTTGCTGTGTTTTGTTTTTAAAATACAACCACATATTTGCATGTTGATGGAAATGTTTGAGAAGACTGGAAGAGATAGCTGGTGTAGGAGAAAAAGATAATTCCAGAGACAAAGCCCTTATGAAGACATGAGGGGATCATATTTGATAACATGGATTTGCCTTTAATAAAAGGACCTAAGAAGAAGAGAGTGGGTTCAGATGCAGGTAGACTTGTGGTTGTGGTTTTAAATGGCTTTTATTTTCTCAGTGAAGTATGAAGTGATAGTACCAGTTAGCTGGAACTTACCAACTAGAATTGCTTGTCTTCTGTGTCTTACTATCTGAAGCTTAATGCCTTAAATTAGTAATAAAGACAAAGAAAACAAATTCAACTGGCAAATCACTTCACATTTCTGGCTTCCAATTTCCAAATCTTAAAAGGGTTAGAATAGATGATTTGAAGTTTTCAGTCAACTATTAAGTCCTTTGAATTTAAGGAAAAAACATTGGAAAAAGATAGAGTGGAAGGTCAAATTTAGAAAAAAATAGCTCAACAAACATTTATCCTGCTTATGTATCACATTATAAAGATGTTTAGAAATCGATAATACACATCACTAGCAAGCATACACTGACATTTTGAATGTGCCACTGAGAATGGTTCAGTGCTTATGGAAATGTGTTAATAGCTATTAAAAACCCTAAAATTACTCACTATCTTTGACTCTGTTCTGAAAATTTATACTAAGAAAATAATTTTAAATATGGGCAATGCATTATTCAGCACTGTGTTAGGATATTTAGTGTACTATTTTGAAAAAATTAGAAACAGACTAAGTTTATTTCTGATGGAAACTATGGTATCCCTGGTAAATAGAAAGCAATGTCTACAAACAATATTGTTTATTATAGTATTGTTCATGAAAATAAGACCATTACAGAAAATATTTGAGATAGTAAATTGAAAAGGCAAGGTGAAAAATTAGACAATAAGATTTCAACCACATATAAAGCAAGACCAATATATACATAGAAAACAAAAGACCAAAAAAAAAAAAAAAAAAACACCTCAGAATATCCAAAGTGCTTATATTTGTTAAGGGAAGCTAGAGATTATCTTTCTACTCTTCTGCACTTTTAAATTTTCCTTAATGAGATGATGGCTGTAAAAGCAAATATTAAATGGTATTTAAAACAAAAGAAAATGGAAGCTATTTTAAAACACTGTGTGTCTGTTCTGCAGTCAGAAGCAGAAGGTCTTCTAGGTAGGAAAAGGCCTTTATTCTTTACCAGGGATTTAAGGTGATTCACCCTAGTTGACAGGTGGCAATTACATATTATTTCTCTTTGAGAGTTCAGATAAATACTCCTCCTTCCATTTAAAAGCAATTCATTGCAAACTCAACACGTCCTGTGTAATTGAGCAGGTATAATTAATAAAAAGCAGAGTGGACTTGGGAAATTGGAATGTGTGCTCCATTTAAAGACCTTCAAACAGATTTCCTTTTTTTCCCCAAAACACAACACAGTTCACATAAAATAAATCTGACATGCAAGCGGCTTTTGACTTGCCAGTTTACAGTCATAGATCTAGAATTCCCTATTTCTGTTGTTGGCTATTTAAATGGTTCCAGGATCTTTTATAGAAGATGAAAACTCTGATAAGCCCACACAGCCCACGTATATGTCGGAAGGTTATCAAATGTTTCTATTCTTTTGGATTGGAAGAAAAAAGTTAAACCCATATTACATTGAGTTCCTTGTTATGTCTTTCCATTGGAATTCAGGTTGGGGTCAAATAGAAAGGGCTAGCAACAGGATTCTGATTCAAAATTGTGCTTTTCTTCAAGGAACCCAGATTTTATGCTTGGGGAGTTAATTTGCTTTATTATTTGGAATCAAACTCTGCTCTGTGCCCCTGGGCTGGATAATTATTCTTTTAGAGAGAATTAGTCTTCTGATGACACATTAAGAGGTTCTTTTAGAAAAAAATACATTTTAAACATTGGACTAAGTCCCAGGATATTTGAAATTAGTGTAAGTAATGGTTGGAATGTCCCCAAATGATGGCTGTAAATGACACCCAGGGTGACAGGCTCAATGGAGGCAGAGACTTAATGGGCACAGAGACTGATACCCTCTAGAAGCAGAATGCCATGCTGAAGGATTAAACAGCCAGTGGCTAACCGGCTGGATGCTACCATTTGAGATTTATTTTGGCTATTCTAAGATGATTTCCTCAAAATCAACATTGGCGTTTCAAAAAGTGCTTCCAGGGGGTTGACTTACAATGATATTACACTCTTGACCAAAACATTTTAGATTAATGCTGGTTAGAAATACACTTACTTGACATTATTCCTTGTGTGTGTGTGTACGTGTGTGTGTGTGTGTGTTTGTGTGTGTGTACTTTCTTCCCTGAGGGGTAGATGCTGTGATACTAAGTATTATTGCTAGATCTATGAACATGAGTTCTATGTTAATGGAATCCTTGATGGGTTGCAAGACTGCTTGTGAAGAATGTAGATAAGAAAAGTCCTAAACTATTCTTATGTTGAGGGGTGTTTTTCAAACATTAGGAAGTATTGTATTATTATATAATTTTTTTAGCATTTCGTATTAAGTGCCAAATATTAACTTGTGAGCTAGCAAGTGATGACTGGGTAAAACCATGATAAATATATTCTGCTAAAAATATGATGTCAAAATGGGACCCCAAAGGAAGCAATAATTCATACAAACACTGTATAACCCCTTTTATTCTTAGGTTTGCTAAAAAACTATCCTTCTCTGTTCCTCAGAATAACTCCTTTCTTCCCATTTACTCATTGTGAATATTCATTCCCCAAGGCTTTAGCCATCATTCTGCTCTATTTCCTTCTCTGTCTATCTGCTCAGTTAATGCTGCTAACTTTCCATTATAAAAGGGTAAATAGTCATAACCTAATGTTCTGAGACTCTGGTGCCATACCTAAGGGAAAAATGGAGAGGTGATGGATTTTCTGTGAAAGTCATAACCTTTGTGCACTTGCTTATATTCTCTGAAAGATTTTTTTTTCTAATATGCATATAGTTCAAACAAGTGCATAAATATATATTTATAAATTCTAAATGGATCTAAGGGTACATATTAGGATATAGGGAAGGGGCCTGAGAGATTGCTAATTCTAGATTTAATTGAATCTCTTATGCTAGTCTTATAAATTTTTTGTAATAGTTCTTCATTCATATTTATTTTATAGGATAATTTGGCTCAATAAATATTTTCTACATCCAGCAAAAATTTAAATGGACTTAGAGAATCATATTTTCTACTTCTTCATGTCTTTTGGTGCTATATTGAGAATATTGTGAGTTTTAAGAAATGAGGGTATAATTAGTAAATCAATACTTCCTGAACACTTCACTAGGTGCTAACTTGGAGGAGTGATAAGGGAGAAAGACAGGAAAGAATGGCAATGACATCTGTGGTATCCTTTGAGTAATTCAAAGCTAAAAACTTACAGGTACAAAGTTGCATCTATGAATGCAGATGAAATTCAGAATTGAGGGGTCAGTGAGATCTTTTGGAGATGAAAATTTGATCTGTTATTCCCTTTTTATAAATCACAGGAATATGTTCCCATAAGTGATCAGGAATATCCCAATTTTTTATTTGACTTATGAGGTCCTTAATAATCAGCTATTTCCTTATGTATGCAGTCTAATTGTGTCATCCAATTCTTAATTTGCTCTAAGGTGAGTGAATTAAAAGCCATGGGAGAAATGAAAGTTATTGGCTCAGCAGATCACAGAAGGCTTCCTCTTAGGTAGTATTTATTTATAACCTCTTTCTTTCTCTCTCTTTCTTTCTCTCTCTCTCTCTCTTTCTTTCCCTCCTCCCTCCCTCCCTCCCTCCCTTCTTTCTTTCTTTTCTCTTTCTTTCTTTCTTTCTTTCTTTCTTTTTCTTTCTTTCTTTCTTTCTTTCTTTCTTCCTTCCTTCCTTCCTTCCTTCCTTCCTTCCTTCCTTCTTTCTCTCTCTTTCTTTCTTTCTCTTTCTTCTTTCTTTCTTTCTTTCTTTTCCTTCCTTCCTTCCTTCCTTCCTTCCTTCCTTCCTTCCTTCCTTCCTTCCTTCTTTCTTTTTCTTTCTCTCTTTCTCCCTTTCTTTTCTTTTCTTTCTTCCTTCACAGGGTCTTGCTCTGTCACCTAGGGTGCAGTGCAGTGCTGTGATCATAACTCACTGGAGCCTTCACCTGCTGAGTTCAAGCTCATCCTCCTGCCTCAGCCTCCTGAGTAACTGGGACTACAGGCATGTGCCACCAGACTCAGCTAATTTTTAAATTTTTTTGTAGAGATGAGGTCTCTTTATTTTGCCCAGGCTGGTTTCAAACTCCTGGGATGAAGTGATCACTCTTCCAAAGTGTTGAGATTACAGGTGTGACCATGCCCAGCCCATTTATAACTTTTCCACTTAAAGAAAAAGGAAAAGCATACAAACCAAATAAATTTTCTTAATGAGGGTATGACTTCAAAATTCAGTTACTAGAAGTAGATAAGGTCACACTTGGCATTTAAACACACTTGCAATTTTACCTATACCAAAGAATTCTCTCAGCTATCCAGGATCATAAAACAACATCATTCTACCCTGTCCTAAGGAGAACTGGGTTGCTAAGTTCGAATTGAGATAGTGGATAAGCTTCTGTTAATAGGATTTTTGTCTGTGTCTGAGTCTGATTAAATTTCCAGGGTCGTTAGTCAACTGAGTCCTGGAGAGGGGATTGGAACTGGGGAAGAGGTATTTGAAAAAGGACTGTGTGACTGAGGCCTGACATGAATAGACCTGAGAAATTGCTGGAGAGAACATAGAGAACACCAATAATGGGTTAGGTTTGTTTGTCTGCATAAACAGTCTAGACTTAGAGTCAGAAATTACATTTTGTTCTAAGAATGTGAAAGCTTTTCTACCCCAGCAGTAAATAAAATTTTAAAACTACATAAATACTTAACACTACATGCTACATAACTTTTTCCTTAATGTTTTCTAATAGTGATAATAATAATAGCTAATATTGAATGCTTACTATGTGTCAGGCCCTGTTTACATTCTTTATGTGGATTAACACATTACGCAGCACAACTCTATGATGTGGTTATTATTCCACCTTTACAGTTGAAGAAACTTAGACAGGTGAAGTAACTTATTTAAGCAGCAAGCAGTGAAACAGGATTTCAATCCAGATGGGCTAGCCAAAGACTATACTCTTAGCTATGACACCAAACCCCTTTAGTACAACAAATGCTGTCTTTCATTATAAATCAGTGTTCATTTACTTATTTATATTAGAATTAGAGAGCATTTAGAATGGAAGTAAATTCAAAGAAAATCTAATTTGGTTCTTTATTTTACAGATGAGGGAACTGAAGTGTTGAGAATGGAGGGGTGTTTGTTTATTTGACATTACAGTGAACTGGTAGAAGTATGCTGGAATTCACTACTTTAAGCCTTTGCTGTTGTACTATATCTAAATACTGTATCCTGAACATTGTTTTGCCAGGGCTAAAAGAAAAAATCTCAAAGTCCTGATTCTAGTGACTATTTTATTTTATGAATGTGTGTGTGTGTTTGCACATATATGTACAACTGACCCTTGAATAACATGGATTTGAACTGTGCAGGTCAATTTATATGCATAGTTTCTTCTCCTTTGCCATCCCCAAGAGCAAGACCAACCCCTCTTCTTCCTCCTCCTCTTACTCAACGTGAAGATAAAAGGATAAGGCATTTATGATGATCCACTTCCACTTAGCAAATAGTATACTTTCTCTTCCCTATGATTTTCATAACATTTTATTTTCTCTAATTCACTTTATTATAAGAATACAGTGTATGATACATACAACATGAAATACGTGTTAATCTGCTGTTTATGTTATCTGTAAAGCCTCTGGTCAACAGTAGGCTATTAGTAGTTAAGTTTCTGGGGAGTCAAAACTTATATGTGGATTTTTGGCTGCGTAGGGGTTGGGGACCGGCACTGACTCCCAAGTTGTTCAAGGGTCAAATGTGTATGTACACACACATGTGTATGTGAAAATTCATGTATGCACACACACGCAGTATTATATATTCATTAAGACATGTAGATACACATACATTAAAATATGGATTTTTTTCTAGAAGTCATTATGCAAGAAAAATACTTGCACATGCATGTTTATAGCAGCACAATTCGCAACTTCAAAAATTTGGAACCTACCAAATGCCCATCAATCAACGAGAAGATAAAGAACATGTGGTATATATATACCATGGAATACTACTTAGCCATATAAAGGAATGAAATAATGGCATTTGCAGCAACCTGGATGGAATTGGAGACAATTATTCTAAGTGAAGTAACATGGAAAACCAAACATCGTATGTTCTAACTCACAAGTGGGAGCTAAGCTATGAGGATGCAAAGGCATAAGAATGATACTATGGACTTTGGGGACTCAGGGGAAAGGGTGGGAAGAGGGTGAGGGATAAAAGACTACACATTGGGTACAGTGTGCACTTCTTGGATGATAGGTGCACCACAATCTCAGAAACCACCACTAAAGAACTTATTCAAGTAACAAAACACCACCTGTTCTCCAAAAACCTATTGAATTAAAAAAATTAATAAAATATATCTATTTTTCTTAAGGCACTTGTTTTTAAGGTAGAAGAATGCCTTAGCACTTTCTAATCCCTCCACCCAGCCCTCTCTCCAGAAGCCCAAGCATTCATGCTGTCACCAGTCTTCTGAATGTCATTGACGACCATTCTGAGACTCTATATCTTCAGTAAAGGGACTCTGTATCTTCAGTAGCCTCAGGCCTATTCAATCATGTGTGTTTTCTTGGAACTGATGGAATTAAAAAACTGAATGACACATTATTTTCCTTTTATTTTAGTGGTTTGTACCCTGCTTTGCTGCCTAGCACATTTTTAGTGAAACATAAATGATCAATGAGTATATATGGGATTATCTGCTTTTAGATCTTTCACATATTAGAAGACAAAATAAAAACTTATTTTTGTTTTCATTCTGGCAATGGAAAATCTATTTTTTTTTGGGCACTATTATTCTTTCTCCAGCCTACTGCAAACATCTTTACGTTTTTAGTGATATCTTTATATGATAGAAGGTCCCCACTTCTCTCTGTATTTAGGTGTCAATCCCTTGAAAATTACTTTACTCTCTTGTCTCTCTTTCCTACTATCTGACTAGGTTAGTCAAACTTTGACCATGGTTAAACTCACTAACTAATCTGCAACCAGGAGAAAGAACTACCAATCCTGCTGATTGTTTTTTATCTAAGATCATGAATGCAAATCTCAAAGGGCACTGAAATTCACCTGTATTTGCAGTTTGCTTGCCTAACACATTTTGGCTCTTCTACTCCCTACAAAGTCCACATTACACATCCATTCAAAGGTCTTATATGCCTTGTGTCTCACATCTGTGAAAAAATAGAAACAATCAGACTTAAACAAACTTTCTCGTCTTCTCACCGCCAGATTTACCAGTCAGCCTACACCTGAACCTTCAACTTCTGCCTTTTTATTATTACAATGCTCCCACCAAAGGCCAATCCCTTTGTGTTCTGCCTTCCCATTCTCTTTTATTTTATTTTTTATTTTTTCAAATTTCAATAGCTTTTGGGGTACAAGTGGTTTTTGGTTACATGGATAAATTATATTTTGGTGAATTCTGAGAGTTTAGTGTACCTGTTACCCAAGTAGTGTACGTTGTACTTAATGTGTAGCTTCTTATCCCTGGCCCTTCTCCCACCCTTCTTCTTCTGAGTCTCTAAAGTTCATAATATCACTCTGTATGCTTTGTCTACTCACAGCCTAGCTCCCACTTAGAAATGGGAATACAGTTTTTGGTTTTTCACTCCTGTGTTACTTAGAATAATGGCCTCCAGCCATTCAAGTTGCTGCAAAAGACATTATTTTGTTCCTTTTAATGGCTGAGTAGTATTCCATGGCGTATATAGACAACATTTTCTTTATCCACTCAGTAAATGGGCATTTAGATTGGTTTCCACATCTTTGCAATTGTGAATTGTTCTGCTATAAACGTATGTGTGAAAGTGTCTTTTTCATATAATGACATCTTTTCCTTCGGGTAGACACTTAGTAGTGGGATTTCTTGATCCAATGGTAGATCTACTTTTTGTGCTTTAAAATGTCACCATACTATATAAAATAAAAATGAAGCAGGCTTAAAAAAGAAAAAAGAAATCTCCATATTGTTTTCCATAGCAGTTGTACTAATTTACATTTCACCAGTAGTGAATAAGTGTTCCCTTTTCCCCGCATCCACATCAATATGTATTTTTTTTGACTTTATAATAATGGGCATTCTTGCGGGAGTAAGGTGATATCCCATTATGGTTTTAATTTGCATTTCCCTGATGATTAATGAAGTTGAGTATTTTTTCATAAGTTTGTTGGCCATTTATATATCTTCTTTTTGAGAAGTGCCTATTCATGTCCTTTGCCCACTTTGTAATGGAATTATTTGTTTTTTTCCTGGTAATTTGTTTGCATTTCTTATAGATTCTGGATACTAGTCCTTTGTCAGATGCATAGTTTGCAAATATTTTTTCCCATTCTATGGGTTGTCTGTTTACTCTGTCGGTTATTTATTTTTCTAAGCAGAAGCATTTTAGTTCAATTAGGTCCTATTTATTTTTGTTTTTTACTCATGAATTCTTTGCCCAGGCTGATGCCTAGAAGAGTTTTTCCAATGTTATCTTCTAGAATTTGTATGGTTTCAGGTCTTAGATTTACATCTTTGATCCATCTTGAGTTGATTTTTGTATGTAGTGAGCGATAGGGATCCAGTTTCATTCTTCTACATGTGGCTTGCCAGTTTTCCCCGCACCATGTAGTAAGTAGGGTGTCCTTTCCCCAATTTATGCTTTTGTATGCTTTGTCAAAGATCAGTTGGCTGTATGTATTTGACTTTATTTCTGGGTTCTCTGTGTTCCATTGGTCCATGTGCCTATTTTTATACTACTATCATGCTGTTTTGGTAACTACAGCCTTCTAGTATAATTCGAAGTTCGCTAATGTGATGCCTCCAGATTTGTACTTTTTGCTTAGGATTACTTTGACTATTCAGGCTGTTTTATGGTTCCATATAAATTTTAGGGTGGTTTTTCTAATTCCATGAAAAATGATGTGTATTTTGATGGGAATTGCACTGAGTCTGTAGATTGCTTTGGACAGTATGGTCATTTCCATGATATTGATTCTTCCAATCCAGGATAATGGATGTATTTTCATTTGTTTGTGTCATCTATGATTTATTTCAGCAGTGTTTTGTACCTCTTATAGAGATCTTTCTGCCTTCCCATTCGACGTCATCTTCTCAAGGACTTTACTGCTGTAATTATTGTGTAGTCCTTTAGTATCATCAATTGCTAGATAATTCCCATTGGCTTGTGTACTAGTTAGCAGTTCTACAGGAAGAAGATGGCACATTTAATGGGCTCATTTGAGAAAAGTTTAATAAAGGAACTATTTACCCAGGGCAGATAAAGTGTAGTTGGGACATCATGAGAAACAGTCCAGTGCCAGGGAAGGAAGGCTCCGCCACCCGTCCATACCCACTTTTTTTTTAATCTCCTAAGCCTGAAAGGTGAAGGAAATGAGTAATTTCCTGCTGGAGTCAGGGATATCTGTATGGAGAAAGCTCCTGAAAGCAGTCCTGCCCTCTGGTTGAGGAGAGGGGCAAGCCAACCCTCCACAGCCTCATAGGGAGGGACGGAAGTGGGGAGATAAAAATCCTCTTTTCGCCTTCCCTCCAGGATCTCTTGCTCATTTTCCCCACTGGCTGAACTCAAGGAACAGAAAAGACAAGAAAACACATCAAGTAAGTAGAGGATATGGAGAGCACATCAGGAAAGCCAATCAGTGTCAAAGCAAGAACTGTACTGGACCAAGTTAGACAGGCAAGGAAGACTTTACTCAATGCTGCTGCAACTGGGGAGTGAGGCCAGAATTCAATGTCACCAAAACAAAGAGTAGTGGGATTTCTTTTTTCTTTTCTTTTCTTTTTTTTTTTTTTTTTTTTTTTGAGACAGAGTCTTGCTCTGTCGCCCAGGCTGGAGTGCAGCGGTGCGATCTCGGCTCACTGCAAGCTCGGCCTTCTGGGTTCACACCATTCTCCTGCCACAGCCTCCCAAGTAGCTGGGACTACAGGTGCCCGCCACCACGCCCAGCTAATTTTTTTGTATTTTTAGTAGAGACGGGGTTTCACTGTGTTAGCCAGGATGGTCTCGATCTCCTGACCTCATGATCTGCCCGCCTCAGCCTCCCAAAGTGCTGGGATTACAGGCGTGAGCCACTGCGCTTGGCCAGAGCAGTGGGATTTCTAAAGGCTGGGGTGTGCTAGTGGAAAAGTACTGGAAGATGTTAGGGGGACGCTATAGGCCATCTGTGTTTGCTAATAAACTTCACTTATCTTCATGACAAGAGGTAGCTTTGCAACTTGGAGCAAGGGGCCTGCTGAAGCTCAGCTACTACCCTCCCACTGAAACTGGGAGACAAGCGGTGCTATCTTCCCTGATGATTACATTTTAAAGAGATGGCTTCTGGGTTCTTCAGAAAGACACTCTTGGGTTGGGAAAGTGGCAAGAGGCCTTTAAAAAGATTTACATTTCAAAAAGACAGAGAAAGAATTTACAATTAAATATTATTTAAAATAAATGCTTTAAGAAAAGAAATGTCAGGGGTCTAGCGTCAGGAAGAAGCCTGTCTGAAATTTAATTAAGCTGAGGGCATTTAGCATCTTGGTCACCAGGTAACATCAGCATAGCGTATGCTAAAACAAATAAAACAAAACAAAAATGTCTTTCCTGAAGCTACTCTTCTAAGCTCTGCTTATCTTTAAAGCAAAACTTGTTGAATAAATTAACTCTCCTTCTTTCTCCAATCCTTTGCAATCATTATTCTACCTCCAATATTCTCCTATGACTGATCACTATGTTGCCAAATTCTAGTGGTCAATTTCCTTGTCCTTGTCTTACTTGATTTCAGCGGCATCCCATGGAGTTAACCATTTCCTTCTTGAAACTCTTTCCTTGGTTTCTGCTTTTTTTTTCTTTTCTTTTTTTTTTGTCCATGTCATTACATGCTCCTTCTCAGATACTGTTGGCTCCTCCTCCCTGATGTCTAATACTGAGTGAACCAGGGCTTGGTCTTGGCCCCTTTCCTTCTTATTTATTTATTTATTTTTAATTAATTAATTAATAATTATTATTTTTTGAGATGGAGCTTCTCTTTTGTTGCCCAGGCTGGAGTGCAATGGCACGACCTTGGCTCACTGCAACCTCTGCCTTCCTGGTTCAAGCGATTCTCCTACCTCAGCCTCCAGAGTAGCTGGGATTACAGGGGCCTGCCACCACACCCAGCTAATTTTTTTGTATGTTTAGTAGAGATGGGATTTCACCACGTTGGCCAGGCTGGTCTCGAACTCCTGACCTCAGGTGATCCACCCCCCTTCAGCCTTCCAAAGTGCTGGGATTATAGGCGTGAGCCACTGTGCCTGGCCTTCTTTTTTATTTTTAAACCACACATTTAAAAAATAATCATCCTGCTCCATTATTTTACCATCCTTATGCTAATGACTCCTGTACTAGTTTTAACATCTTTCTACAAATACAGAATCCTATATTCAACGTCCTGCTTCTCATTGAATGTCTAAAAGTCACTAGAAGCTCACTTGTCCTAAAACATAACTCTGTTTCCCTTCCCTTAACCCACACTTGTTTCTCCCCAATTCTTCCATCTCAGTAAATAGCAGTATTACCTATCTAATTGCTTAAGTCAAAAATCTATGAAGTCTGCACTTCTTTTTCCCTTACTTCCCACATTCAAGTTATTAGCATGTAAAACTGATTCTACCTGCAAAACATATTCCCTCTACTTCTATCACATCATCCAACCCATCATTACCCTTCCCTGCAATACTTAATCTCTGTTTGCATTTCTGCCTCTGCATAATTTATTCTCCACAGAGTCAGCAGAGATCTTTTAAAAACAGATGTCACTATACTTAGAGTAGATACAAACTCCTTCATGCCCTGTAAAGCCCCACAGGAAATGATCTCTGCCTGTCTTGGATTTCGTGTCTCAGTAACCTACCCTTGCCCACTGACCCTTGCCACGTTGGCCTTCTCTCTGTTCTTGAAATTCTTTCTCTTGATCTTTTCATGGTTGGTATTTTTTTTTTTTTTGGCAATTCAAGTTTTAACTTATATGTCCTTAGAGAAGATTTTCCTGATCTCAATCTAAGGTGGCCCCTGCAGCTCTATTACATGCCTCTAATTGTTTGCAGAACATTTATTATTCTCTAACACGGCCTTGTTTATTTTTTGATATCTGCCTCATCCTGCCAGAATAATAAAATTGGATCCTTCCTGTTTTCCACTGCACTTGGAACATGGGCTAGCTTATAATAGTTACTATATAAAAATGTGTTGAATTAGTGTTAATTGAGTAGTGAAGCCTACATGTTCAAGAAGACTCAATTTTCTGACAGTGTCTAGATTTGAGACTAAGTCTGTTTCTAAAATCTGCCATCACTTTTTTTTGATTGGCAGCAAATCAGGCTATGTTATGGTTAATTGTATGGGTCAACCTGAATAGGTGAAAGGGTACACAGCTGGTAAAACATTATTTCTGGGTGGGTCTGTGAGGATGTTTCCAGAATAGATTAGGACTTGCATTGGAAGACTAGGGAAGGAAGATCGCCCTTACCAATTTGAGTAGGTATCATCTAATCCACCGAGGACCTGAATAGAACAAAAAGGCAGAAAAGGGGCAAATGTACTGTCTTCCTTGACCTAGAACATCATCTTCCCCTGTTCCAGGACATCAGTGTTCCTGATTCGCAGGCTTTTGGATTTGGACTGAGACTTAATACCATTAGCTTCCTTGGTTCTCTGGCCTTCAGACTGAATTACACCATTGGCTTTCCTGGGTCTTTAGTTTGCAGACAGCAGATCCTGGGACTTCCTAGCCTCCAAAATTACATGAGCCAATCCATGATAGCAAATTCTCTCTCTCTCTCTCTCTGTCTCTCCTCTGTCCATTTGTCTTATCTACCTATCTATTTCCTATTGGTTTTGTTTCTCTAGAGAACCCTAATAGTAATACACTGTATTTCAATTAGAGAAAAAAATTAAATGATTAACCAACAAAAAGAATTGCCAGATTGATGGACTGTTTCATGTGACACAGAATTTCCTGTTTGTAAGGTTTTATGGTAATGGTCTTTTCTTTAATGATACATTACATAGATATAAATATGTATAAGGGGTTAGGCCATGAGATTTATGTGAGTACTATGTTAATTCATTATCTGTAGTATTTCAAACATAGAAATAAATAGTTATAAAACCACTGAATGGTAAACATGTATTTTAAGTGACTAGGATACAATAAGCTAATATTGGTAAGATTTTTTTTTTTTGAGACGGAGTCTCGCTCTGTCACCCGGGCTGGAGTGCAGTGGCGTGATCTCGGCTCACTGCAAGCTCTGCCTGGGTTCAACGCCATTCTCCTGCCTCAGCCTCCTGAGTAGCTGGGACTTCAGGTGCCCGCCACCATGCCCGGCTAATTTTTTTGTATTTTTAGTAGAGATGGGATTTCACCATGTTAGCCAGGATGGTCTCGATCTCCTGACCTCGTGATCTGCCCGCCTCAGCCTCCCAAAGTGCTGGGATTACAGGCATGATCCACTGCACCCGGCCTAATATTGGTAAGATTTAATTACGTTGAACAAATAATTAAAAATTATTTTACATATTTTGAGATCATTGAGGAGGAATATCCCAGAACTTATTTATTCTTTCTGGCTTGATTCTTGATTACATAAAATTGTCTAGTAAATATTATCAATATGAGAGTGTTATCATAATAACATATCCTCTTCCATATTGGTGAATAAGATTTTATATCTATTTTGTAACATTTTCTGATTACAAATATATGTGTCCAGTAGTAATATTAACCTTGATTCTTGATAAGCAACAGTAATTCACATAGTGATAAATACCAAAATATTTTACAACTATAAATTGACCACATGAACAGTTAGTTTCTACCAAGTAGAAGACAGGGTTTGTGAAAATCTGAGTGGGCAAACAATTGGTATGGCAAGTGTAAGTGTGCAGGGATAAAGTACATTTGAAATACTCAAGTCTAGCATTGATTAGGACAATTCAGTCTAGAGGCTGCAAATGGGTATTCCATAAATTATACTACGTCAGCATAATTGTTTTTACTTGATTTATACAATACTTTTAAAACCTATAGATCTCAACTGAAAATCCTGATTTTTATCTTCTCTCAAAAACTGTCCTTCAGTGTGAGCCTTCACTGCCACATGGCAATAATCAGCTGAACAGAAGAGTTTCTGGTTCACTCTGCAACACTCCCTAATGTTCAATACTTTCTCAGCTTTTTGCTTCACACGTTTATATTTCCTGCATGGGCTCTGTACATATTATATTGCCAAGTCTGTGAGGTCAAGTTGATAGTCAGTCAAGTAATGCCTAATATGTATGGGGGATATATCAAATTGTTTTACCTGTCTTAATTTAACAAAAATTATATATATTTTGCATGAAATGTACAGTTGGTGGATTAAATCAAAAGTTAATAAAAAATTTGAGGTACTTAAGTATAAAATAGTGTTATTAATTTTGTATTTTTTCTGGAATCAGCATATTTTTATGTTAAATGGTATTCACTTAATTCTTTTACATAAAATTATCTAGCAAATATTATCAATATGAGAGTGTTATAGTAACACATCCTATTCCATATTGGTGAATAAAATTTTATATTTATTTTGTAACATTTTCTGATTACAAATATATGTTTATAGTAGAAAAAATTATACATAGAAAAATTACCCATAATCCAATTATATTATGATCATCAGTGCTATATGTGTGTGTATGTGTATAGCCAAGTATGTATAGGAACTGTATATTTATATTGTATAGATTTTTTAAAGCAAAACTAAAATTTGAAATTTAGACTGAAAATTAATGTAAAACAAAATTTAAAGTTAACATTTTGAATAGTAGTTTTTCTACTTTATAACATATTGTCAACAATTTCCCATGTCACTAAATTGAATGGACATTTCTGAGAGTGGAAATAGGCTTTTATTTTTTATTTATTTATTTTTTTGAGATGGAGTTTTGCTCGTTACCCAGGCTGAAGTGCAGTGGTGTGATATCGGCTTGCTGCAACTTCTGCCTCCCGGGTTCAAGCAATTCTCCTGCCTCAGCCTCCTGAGTAGCTGGGATTACAGGTTTGCGCCACCATGCCAGGCTAATTTTGTATTTTTAGTAGGGATGGGGTTTCACCACATTGGTCAGGCTGGTCTCAAACTCCTAACCTCAGATGATCTGCCCGCCTCGGCCTCCCAAAGTGCTGGTATTACAGGTGTGAGCCACCACGCCCAGCCAGGTTTTCATTTTAATACAGATTAAAAAAAAAGGATTTTTCATTGAATTTTAAAACTAATCTTGTTAGAACCAACTAGTTTTGCTCAGTTAATTTGAAAGGGGAAAGATCTATAAACAAAGCAAAAAGTAAAAATTAATAAATAAATGTTTATTATAAAAAGAAAGATTTATTTTCTTCAATTTTATATTCTTTACTAAGTTTCTGATTTGATTTGGCCTCATACTTCAGACTTAGAGATATTTTTACCATATGAAAGGCAAGACATGCTATTCTAAGAAAACTGCTTCTAAGATCTGAAAAACCCTTATTTTTTAGTATTCTGTTTTGATAAAAATAGAACAGTAATTGAAAATGAATAATTCAAAGAAATAATGTTATCTTTTGCTAAATGGGAATTTCTTTCTTCTTTCATTTGATTAAGCATAAGAACCAGTCAGTGGGATTTGAAGGAATGTTTAATTATTTTGTGCATGTTTGGAACTAAATATGGGCCCATTTATATTTCATAGGACTGAAATTCACAGCTCCACTTTGTTTATTACGAATAATGGTGCCAACTATGAAATTAATGACTTTTATTCAGTATATCCGATAAAACCTATGTGAAATTCCATTTCTAACCAAACTTAATAAGCTTTTTATTTTTTATAATTTTATTTCACAGATGAGAAAACGGATTCAGAGAAGCAAATAACTTGACCCAGTATAGTAATATGATAAGTTAGCAAGAGGTTGAGGATCAGAACTTATTGCCGTTTATTTTCCTTAACCACTGAATTCATCATGTTCCCAGATGCTCATCTTGCCTGCTTTACTAAATTCAAAGAATGGACAGGCCACTTCTTTTCCAAATTGGCATTCTATGAGCTTTTTATTCTATTAAACTGTTTCATTTTTCCATTCATTTTCTTCAAGTGCTATGGTTTTGACCTGACTTTACATACCTGTAAAGCATAATATCATCAGAATCCAATATTTTGGATTATTTTCTTGGTTAACTATACAAAGATTGGGCTATTAAAAATAAAAATAAAGATAAATTTATTTATATACTAAGAAACAGTCATCTACTTTAAAAGCAGAAAAATAACTTCTTATCCTTGCTTTTTTATTTTCCATTTTTAATGCAAATAATTTTAAAATACTGAATATTACAACTAACAATACCTATTTAAAGCAAATAGGATGGAGAGCATACAACAATAATTTTTTTCTTTGCAAATCAGTGGTTCTAGGGACATTATACTTAGGAAAAGTATTGTACAATAACAAGCATAAATTACCATCTCAGATATAGGATAATTTAAGTGCACATTTCTGTCTATTTACACCCCAAACAATATGTCAGGCAATGCAGACATTTCTCTATTTAAAAATGGTCATTTTTCACGATCCTATCATTTATTATCTGAGATCATAGTAAAACATATTTTAACAGAATAGGTCAAGTTGCAGCCATCAGACTATTAGTGATTTTCTAGAAGTCATTCTTCACAGCTTCCTTTCCCTGTTCCACATCCCCGTTTCCTGCTCTTGTCCCCATTTTCAGCAGCTGTGTTACTTACTTATTTATTATGTTTATATCAAAAGTTCAGTGATCCCGATTGAGCATTAGAAAGTAAATCACAGCTGAGGTCCGGAAGGGCTACCTATAAAGTGCAAGGTACCATTTTAACTTTCCCACACAATAGGTTATTTTGTCATTGGCATTACCGTGCTCCCAAGCCTTAGCAACAAAGCTAAAATAACTCCATTTGTTTTAGCCACCTTCTGACTGTTGAACTGTAGCACAATTTTCCTTTTGTTTCCTTCTAATGCTTAAAAAAAATAAAGTTATTTAAGTATAGCTCTGTGATTCTTCTTATCTCTAAAGGTCATCTGCTCTGGCCAGAAAGGTTTCTAGGCGATGAGAAATTGATTTACCCAGAAACAGGGAACCTCATTTTTAACTTTTCCTAATGGCCTTCACGAGGGAATTAGAACATCCTCCTCAGAAAGGTTGACATACTCTGGCATAGATGGGGGCGAGCTGCACTATAAACATGTTAGTGTCTTGACTATGAATTGCTTGCCACCTAGATGAATGCTCGTCACACTGTCCGGGAGACACTTGTCACAGCCTTGCGAAGACCTGCTTATCATTCATGTGGTCACTTCCATTACCTCTGCTCAGACTGTGCTGACCTGCTATTAGTGACTCTAATTTAATTTCCCTCACCAGTGTCATGGGTTATTTCTTCCATTACTTGAGAGATTTAATTTACAGGGTAAACTCCATCACATAAGAGAAGAAATTTTTCATGACAGTAGGAACAAGTACCTTTTGAAGATTAAGATGATGCTGGCTATTTATCTCGGTCATCTCAGTAGCTGGCAGTTGAAACTTCATCAAATGGTAATATATTCATATATTGATGGTGTCTCTGACAGGTATTAAGCATTGTATGTTTTACTGATTTTATGGAGTCACTTTTTGGTGCTGTTCATTCAGAGAATCTTGACAGGTACAGTATGATTTCTGGAAACCAGAGAAAGAATAAAAGAATATTCTTTCCCTCTTGTTCCCCTATGGACTTCAGAATTCAACTTCCCTAGATTTTATTAAATTAGACTATTTCAAAAGAACAATAGTGGGAAAAATGTCTCAATTGTTGAAGATCAGACTAAAGTCTTAAAAGGTGTTGTTTTCCTGGTTCTTAGATTTGATTTGAAGAAATGCCTGAAAGAGCTCCCTTTAAAGTACAAATAATGAAGGCAGAGCTATGGCACAGCACTGTGGACTATGAAGAAGTTAAAGTATATTTATTATTTATTTTTCTATTTTTGATCACTAATTGCCAGAATATTTAAATATTTTCACTCACTTTTTTTTTTTTTTTTTTTCGAAACCGAGTCTTGCTCTGTCACCCAGGCTGGAGTGCAGTGGCGTGATCTCGGCTCACTGCAAGCTATATCTCCCGGGTTCACACAATTCTCCTACCTCACCCTCCTGAGTAGCTGGGACTACAGGTGCCCACGACCACGCCTGGCTAATTTTTTGTATTTTTAGTAGAGATGGGGTTTCACCATGTTAGCCAGGATGGTCTCAATCTCCTGACCTCGTGATCTGCCCGCCTTGGCCTCCCAAAGTGCTGGGATTACAGGCATGAGCCACCACGCCCGGCCTTCACTCACTTCTTTCCTCAATTATCAATTTTACGATTTAATTATCAATTAAGACCTTGTCTAAATGATTTATTCTTTTCTCTAACTTGGCTTATAAACACTCAACAGTATTTACAAATGATCATCACTGTCCTTGGTTTTAGTTTAGCCCCCAAATGGCTGGTGCCCTGTGAACTTTAATACAGAAAAAAAATCAAACAAACCAATCTTCATGTTTCTGTGAGTATAGATGTTGAGAGATAAATGAATGTCTACACATCTAATTTTTCCCATATTGGTTGTTGGCTTTATTGTCCAGGCCCCAAACTTGGGCTTATCCTCAACTCTTCTCTTTTGCTCATACCCTAGATCTAATCCTTCAGGAAATTCTCTGCCTTTAAAATTTATGCAGAATATGAGCACCTCTCTCAAACATGATTTCTCTAAGGGCCAGTATGCTGGACTTCACTGGATAACAAGAGATGAGTGTGGGGAGGGAGGCAATAAGAGGGGTGAGGATGCTAAAGTCTGTTTTAAAATTTTAGTTTTAAGAAAGGAGAAAGGAATTCTCTTTAAGTCCTTTTATTTTTCAATCCTGATCTCAACTCTTCCATATTCTCCTCTAAGGGATGAATAATGATTAGTTTAAATCAGTTATGATAATTTCAATCCCCATTTTTAGTTGTTGCTGTGAGGTGGCCATGCATCTTCATTCTGACCAATGAGACAAACAAACTGTGTTGGGGGAACGTCATCCTCAAATTACAAAGAGAAAGCCTTCCCCCATCACTTCCTTCCTGCTTGGAACTAACATGGTATTTGAAGCTAGGACCAACACACTGTGGAAAGGTAAAAGCACGAGATGTCAAGCCAATATGAGAGAGGCAGAAAGAGCCGGAGTCTTGCTGATATTACTGAGTGACTGAATCTGCAGACTGCCTACTTCTGCAATCTATCTAGTTAAATAGATAATAGAAGAAGCCACAGTTCATTTGGCCTAGTCTGCTACCTGTTGCCAAAACCATTTCAAATTGATGTATGCCCATGTAATTTTGCCATGGATTTCCTAGCATCATGCTCCACCCATAGGTAAATGAGTCCATTCTTTTTACTTGGAATCTTGTGCACTCAATTTGTCTAAACCATTACTGAAAAGTGCATCATTGGTTACTGTGTCTTGTGCCCTAGACGAACTTAGACCAGATCTTTTAGACTTAGTGCTTTTCACTTTTCCTGAATCACAGGTTAGGGTTTTGTTTAGTGTGTTACAAGACCAGGTCTTCAGCTGTTTTCTGTCTCTGATTCACCAGCATGTACTGTTATGACCCACCTGAATGTCCGAAGTAGTTCTTTGATTTATGGTTGTATTTTATTTCTCCTAAATGAGATAATATATGTGAATATTTTTAGTCAATTATTAAGAACTAAATGTATGTAGTACTACTATTGCTGTTGTTACTAGCCTCATTTTTATTATTACTATTTGTTATTTTGTTTCTTCTTCTACACAATGGCCTCTAAAACCAAGGACACAGAATTCTGACTAGTATTTTAGTGTCCTGGTCAATGTAGGGGTTCCAATGAGGTGTTTCTCATATGTTAGAAATATGAAAAACATGACTGCCTTCTGACAGTTTATTTGAAAAATTAATGCTGGATAGACCAGAACATGGAAGCATAGAGAATAACCAAGACTATAAGATGTAACCCGACTGTATTATTAACATATATAAAGAAAAAGTTATCCATGGAAGTCATGAGAGTGCTTGCTCTGCCAAGGAAACACAGATACAAGAGAGTTACAGAGTAAAACCTTGCCCGGGGCTCTTTGGACCATCCAAGGAAGAGTAAATTAACTCTTAGACATTTAATATTTTAGCACATCAAACTTTCTTGGATTCTGTAATTCCCTTTTCTTCAGGGAGTCCCCAGCTCTCATAAAAGGATTTTCGAGCTACTTTGACAAAGCCAGTTACTTCCTTAGGAAGCATTCTAAATGGGTTTTATGATTATACAGATCTAACTTCTTCTTGGTGGTTGAGTTGTTTCTTAGAGTATGATTCCTTAACAACTTTCAGGAACAATACACTTTTTATTCTTCTACTTGGGGAGAAAGAGAGTTGATCTTTGGGATGATAGAGTGGACTGTACCTTGAGAGAACTGGATTTCATTCTGAAATTGGGCACGTAGAGTCACTGACCCTCAAACATTTGAGAAATTGCGGAACTTCTGAATAGCGACAATTTTAATAAACCCATCACTTAGTTATATACCTATAGCTAGAATTTGTAGACTTTTAAGATGTTTAATATTGTTGCAACATGTAATTTTTGCTAATTCTTTTCTATTAATGTGTGTACAATATATTATTTAAAATGAATAATTCATTGTGGGTTTGTTTGATTAATTCTTCTGTGCACTCCTTTGTCCTTGGAAACCCAGAGGAGTAAAATATTACATCTGCTCTTGGGCTTGTCCATGAATGAGTAGATCTAAATGCCTGGTTGGGCAGTGATTAATCAGATCCAGCCTGCCTTGGAACAGCTGTGTCCAGGACATGTCCCCCTGGAGTTAGTCAGAAGTGTAATTTACCTCTAGGGATGGCATATGTCTCAATTTATTTTAAAATTTAGCCCAGTGATTTTTTAAAGCTTTCAAATGCAGGTGACATTTTGGTAAAAAACCAGACTTGCGGTCAAAGATCAAGGTTCTAGGTCTGTCTTGCCCCACTGATTAACAGATTGACCTTTGGGAAATCACTTGTTAGCCCCACATTATACTCTAGGATACAGTTTAATACTTTCTTCCTTAATTATCTTGCCATATTGTCAGGAACAGCAAATAAAACAATGTGTGTGTGTGTGTATACACACATATACATATATACACACATATATAGAAAGAGAGAGGAAGCTTTGAAATAGTTAAAATGTTTTACTTTTCTAATAATAAGATTCATTATTATCATCATATAAGCACTGGGCTATAATTTTCACAGCGTATCCTCATGTGCAAATTATAAATTTTTGTTTTCCTATGCCTAAACAATGTTACTGTGAGTTCTCATTTCATATGATGGAATAACACTTGCTCTATGATCGCCTGAGGAAATTCCAACATTTTAAAATTTGTCTTAGTAATTTCTAATTTAACTCAGAGAATTAGAATTTCTTCTTTCCTTTTTCCCCTCCTTAAACATTCTGCCATGCAAAACTGTGTTGATGGGTAAGGATAGGGCGTCTGGTTTATGGGTACCCTTTGCCTGCTCTGGGTAAATATCTTGGTATTAAATATACCAAGATATTTAATCATCTTATCTTATTCTTCTTTTTCTAGTGGTTTGCACAGGGGCCCTGTACCTCTGTCGGTGCTTACACTGACAGTTGACACCAAGTTCCACTGCAATGTCTCTTTGTACCTACTATGAGACCTTTGCTTTTGTCAGTGCTCAGTGTCACTTCTCTGCTATTCTTGGCCATGTAGGGAGCAGGACTTCTCCCTAGGTAGCCCTTTCTTTCCTTCCATCCATACTAGGGACTCTGAGGAGATTGCCATCCTATAAGAAATTAAGATAGAAAGGAGAAAATTGGTTTTTTTTGTACTGTTGATTTCTCAAACTCACCCAAGGGTTCAGCTGCCTCCCTGTGCTTCCACCTCCACATTTTGTCCTGGGGGACCTGTCAAGGTACAGCTCTGTCCCTTCTCTTATTAACCAACTCCATTTTTTAAAATCTTTCTCTTCTGCTATTAACAAATATCTAGTAGAGTAACAAATTGGGAAGGGAAGTGGCTACTGATTACGACAGATCATATACCATTCACATCTTCCTATCTTAAGCCTGGACTGCGGCATTTTGAACTCAACAGTCAAGAATTTGTAGTCTCCCTATGTTAGTTTTTCCACTGTGATTTCTCTATTAGTGCTGGGCAAGTGAGCACTTGGTAAAAGTGAAGAAACTCAATGAACAAGGTAAGCAGGGGTGCAAAACACACTCATTATAATCTGTCATACAAATTCATGTTTTCCCAATTTCCTTCTGACAAAAAAATCTCATAACATTCCACAAAAATAATGATTTCCAAAAAAGATGGAAGCTTTAATGTGAACATTTGGCATTTGGATCTCCAAAATACTTTAAAAATATTCCTGGAAGTATAAATTTTACATATGACATATACCATGGTAATTTAATTCTATCTTAATAGATTTTAATGAGCTGTACTTTTCTAGTATCCTTACAAAACTGTTTGTTGGGTGACTGCTATTCTTTAAGGAAGTATGCATCCTTACAAAATAAAGTGGTATATCATTTAGCAGTGGATGAAAGATCCCTGAAAAGTGCTTATGGATCTCATTGAGGTATTGTGGGTTTCAATTAATGCCAATCACTTGCTTGCATACTAGGGGGGCTTAATGAACAGTAAATGATTACCTTCACTTATTTGGGGAAATATGAAATGGAGGTGAGGATGTAAATTAATTTTAAAAATTCTTAGAATTAATAGATTATGTTTTTACTTGTACCATATTTGTAGAAAAAGAAAGATCTTGAAAAAGAAGGATCCAAATTATTTCTCTGTCCCTTTGAAATGTGTGTAAATCTTCTTCCAGCCTTTTGCCAGTTTTACAGCTAAAGGATGTCTTTCTCAAGGAGCTGGGAACCATCCCTTTGAAATATAAACACGGGAGGAGACAGTACCACTTTCTACCAAGATCCTACTTGATATCATATTTATAGAAAAAGAGAGATCTGATTTTACTTGATATCATATTTGTAGAAAAAGAAAGATCTTGAGGAATAAGAAAAAGAGGAAATAGGTCAAAGAGATTTCAAGAAATATTAAATATCAAACAATTTTTAGTTGGAACGCCATTTTTATGAGTTGGCCTTTATATATATATATGTATATATTTTTTTCTTCAATTTTTATTTTAAGTTCGGGGGCACATATGCAGGATGTGCAGGTTTGTTACATATGTAAACACGTGCCATGGTGGTTTGCTGCAAAGATCAAACCATCACCTAGGTATTAAGCCAGCATCCATTAGCTATTCTTTCTGATGCTCTCCCTCCTCCATTCCCACCCAACAGGCCCCAGTGTGTGTTGTCCCCCAACCATCTGTCCACATGTTCTCATCATTCAGCTTCCACTTATAAGTGAGAACATGTGGTGTTTCGTTTTCTGTTCCTGCATTAGTTTACTGAGGATAATGGCTTCCAGCTCCATCTGTGTCCTTGCAAAGGACATCATCTCGTATCTTATTATGACTGCATAGTATTCCATAGTGTGTATGTACCACATTTTCTTTATCCAGTCAATCTTGATGAGCATTTAGGTTGATTCCATGTCTTTGCTATTGTGAATAGTGCTGCAATGAATGTATCTTTATAATACAATAATTTATATTCCTTTGGGTATGTATACTGTAATGGGATTGCTGGGTCAAATGGTATTTCTGCTTCTAGGTCTTTGAGGAATCACCACACTGTCTTCCACAAGGGTCGAAATAACTTACATTCCCACCAGCAGTAAAGTGTTTCTTTTTCTCTGCAACCTCGCCAGCATCTGTTGTTTCTTGACTTTTTAATAATGACCCTTCTGATTTGTGTGAGATGGTATCTCATTGTGGTTTTGATTTGCATTTCTCTAATGATCAGTGATGTTAAGCTTTTTTTCATATATTTGTTGGCAGCATGAATGTCTTCTTTTGAGAAGTGACTCTTTATGTCCGTTGCCCAACTTTTTAATGAGTTTGTTTGTTTTTATTTTCGTGTAAATTTGTTTAAGTTTTTTGTAGACTCTGGATATTAGACCTTTGTCAGATGGATGGATTGCAAAAATTTTCTCCCATTCTGTAGGTTGTCTGTTCACTCTGATGATAGCTTCTTTTGCTGTGCAGAAGCTCTTTAATTTAACTAGAACCCATTTGTCAAGTTTTGCTTTTGTTGCTATTGATTTTGGCATTTCTTTCATAAAATTTTCACCCTTGCCTGTTTACTCAATGGTATTGCCTAGCCTTTCTTCTAGGGTTTTTATAGTTTTGGGTTTTACATTTAAGTCTTTAATCCATCTAGAGTTAATTTTTGTATGAGATGTAAGGAAGAGGTTCAGCTTCAATTTTCCCCATATGGCTAGCCAGTTCTCCCAGCACCATTTATTAAATAGACAATTATTTCCCCATTGCTTGCAACAGATATATTTACAAATATATTTTGATTTTGTATAGCAGTTATTTTGTGAATGAAACAGTGGCCTTGATCCTTGAAGTCAGTCTATTCAGAGCAGGAGGCAAGAAATTAAAAGTAAACAAAAGAAAACAAAGAAAAACCCTCCCACAAAATATAATGGTGTAAGTGCTGTAATCAGATTATGACCATGTAGTATCAGAATTCTGTAGGGGTAACACTAAAAGATCAATCTCTTTAAAAAATTGCATTATACCCTTATTAATTTTTAGACTCCAGTAATAATATGAAAATATATCACAATGTCTTCATACTGACAAAATTTAACTCACTAACACTTTGCAATTACCATCAACCAAACCCCCTTCAATTAAGAGCATCAAAGTTTCACATTATGCTGTCAGCAATGTACCCATGAGAGATGATGGTAGCATAATAACTCTTTAAAAATATTAGTTTATGTGTATACCATTTCTTAGAATAGGAATTCTGACAGGTAAGATGTGCTGTTACTTTGAAAAACAAAACAAAACTGCTCTGAAAAATTTAGCTGATGTGGCCCATCTATGTTGGCCTTTTCCCGTGATTAGTAGGTTACTAAATCAGAATCTCAGAGGCCCAGCCCAGTCTAATCCAGACTATCCTAGCCCAGGCTAGGTATTTTATGCAAATACCTATTAAAGACATTATTATCAGTTGCATGCCCTGTTTTTCTTAGCTTTCTCCTAGTATAAACATGGCTGGCTACTAGAAACATAACCATCTAACAACATAACATAGCATCTCTCTAGTAGCCCTTAGTCAGTCTTACTTGAGCTTCCTAAATCTCAATCTTTGCTTTTCCTAAAGCTGAAGCTGCTGGTATCGCTTTTGCATCAACGTGGGTGGTATCCTTGGTATGGGTCCCTGGATTTCTGTCCTTAAGTCAGGGTGAATGGTAAAGCAGCATATGGACAATAAAACTCTGGCTTGCCAATACTTGACCCCAATATTTAACAAACTAAAAATCGACTGACACCCTTCTTAGGATGGTTTATCTCTTAGTGATCACTGAAAAGAAGGCTTCACCAATTCTTCACATAGTCTTCCTTCTCTGAGCAATGATTTCCTTTCAGAGCTCCTGCTTGTAAAACAATAATGACGACTGCCTGCCACATTTAGAAAAACCCAGATTGTTGTATTATGTGGCTGCCGTAGTTATAATTGCCATAAAACAAATGTATTATTTAAACAATAAGAAAATCAGGTCCAGAGGCCCAGAACAAGAAAGAGCTGTTATTTTGTAATAAATTTTTAATTTTAGATTGTCTCAGAATTACAGAATAATAATGAAGACTGTAGAAAGAGTTCCCATAACCCTATAGTGATTTCCTCTGTTGTTATCAGCTTATGTTAGTCTAATAACTAACATTGTTATAAATAATGAGCCAATCTTGATAAATCATTATTAATTAAAATCTGTACTTTATTCAGTAGATTTTACCCAAGTTTCTTGATATCCATTTTCTTAAATAATTTACTTCAGATAACTTTCAATTGTAGATTATTTCTCTGTCCCTTTGAAATGTGCATAAATCTTCTTCCAGCCTTTTGCCAGTTTTACAGCTCAGGGATGTCTTTCTTAAGGAGCTGGGAACCATCTCTTTGAAATATGAACATGGGAGGAGATAGCACCCCTTTCTGCCTGTCTCCATGGAAGGGTAGGAGCCTAGTTTCAGTGGGCTTCAATTAGTAAACACAGATGGCTTAATAACAGAGAAAAACATTTGCAAACTCAGAAATGTCTCAATGTGCACAATTCATCCCAGTCATTAACCTCACCCTAATGTTTTCCATTACTCTTCCACTAGCTCATTCAGTGCTTAAAAACCCAACAGACTTTTCTTTCAATGGAGGTAAGTTTAATCTTTCTCTCTTATTGCAATAGAGTTGAATAGAGTCTTTCCGCCTGTTTTAACTTCGTCCAAGGTAGTTTTTCACTTTGAAGACATTTTCTCAGATGGATATTCCTTTTTTTAGATGCCCTTGAAACTTTTGAGAAGTTCTAGTCAGGTATTTCGTAGAATGTCTCTCAATTGGGATTTGTCTGATGTTGTTCTTATAACTCGACTAGTGTTGCACATTTTTGGGAAAATGCCACAGACGTCAAGTACCATTTTTATCACATCATATCAAAGGTAGATAATATCAACATGACTTATCACCGACGACGTTTAGTTGATTACCTGGCTGAGGTCACTCTTTTCAGGTCTCCTGCCTCATTTTATACTGGACCCACTATGTGCAGCTCACACGTAGGGGGAGTAATATACCTCCCTTCTTTGGGAGTAGAGTATCTACATACATTATGTGGAGTCCTTCTGCATGAGAAAAATGGATTTATTCTCTCCTCCATTTATTAACTTAGTCAATCTGTATTATATTTGTATGGATATATGGATATTTCTTTTATATTTTGTGTTATCTAATGCTACTTTATCTATTTTGTTGCTCAGCCACTGGGAGTTTCTTCAGTTGGTTTCTGTGTCACTTTGACATACCCCCATCTTTGTTAATTAATTTATTTATTTTTGAGTACTTACTTCTGACAGAACAAGATGCTCTGGGCTCCTTGTATGTATTTTCTGCCTCTGTCCTGGATTCAGCTATTTCTCTAAGGAACACTAATTCCTTTTATTTGAGAATGGTATCAGAAATAAATATCTGGGCATTTGGTGTGCTAGTTTCTATTGGAGTAGCCTTGGTTCCTCTCAACACACAGGGTAAGAAAATATATGTATATACTAACATTTGTATACACATATCTATAAATATTTTTATATGTAATCATCTATGCCTGTAATAAACTAAAAAAAAGCTATCATAAACTAAATCAGTTCATACTGATATCTCAAACTCTAATTGGTTAGCACATTGATTTTTCTAGCCTACTCCTTTGGCTTATCTATAAATTCTCACTCCAACAGTGAAAAACCTGGCTCCAACCATTTGCCTTCTATTTACTTAGTTGTTCAATTTTAATATAGATGTATAGCAGTATCAGAACTTTTAGCTGTTAATTGCCAATTTCTATGGGAAATAAATTGATCATCTAGAGTTCAGTGCTTATGCACACTTTCTTTTGTCTTTAGTTTTACAGAACCCACTCATTTCCAAAGTTACTTAAGTCAGCACTCTCCTCCATTTGCTTTTCATTGAAGTTGTTTCAAACATTTGTAATAGAGTCAGATTGTTTTATACATTATACATTCTATCCTGGAATTCCCTTGCCTTCTAAATGATTTTTTTTTAAAATTGCATGCATTGTTTCACTCTTTGTGACTATTGATTTTAGATCTTCATCCTTTTTAAATATATGTATTCAATGCTATAAACTTCCATCTAAGCATTGCCTTTTTTGCATCCCACTAATTTTGATAAGTTGTGTTCTCATGTTAATTTAATTCAAAATATTTTAAATTTTTCTGGAGATTTCTTCTTTTACCCTTGGGTTATTTGAAAGTGTGTTGTTTAATTTCCCGATATGTGAGAATTGCCTATTTACATATCTGTTATTGATTTCTAGTTTAATTTCAGTGAGAATGAACATGCTTTATATAATTTCTATTCCTTTAAATTTGTTAAGGTGTGTTCTGTGGCCCAGAATCTGGTCTACCTTGATGAAAGCTCCATGTGAGCTTGAGAAGATATGTATTCTACAGGTGTTGATGGAGTAGTATATAAATATCAGTTAAATCAAACTGATTGGTAGTACTGTTCAGGCCAACTGTACCCGTAGTGATCTTCTGCCTGCTATATATATCAATTACTAAAAGACAGGTGCTGAATTCTACAAAATAATACTGTATTTGTCTATTTTTCCTTTTGATTCTATCAGTTTTTGCCTCAGATTTATGATGCTCTGTTGTTAGGTGCATACACATTTAGGATTATTATGTTTTCTTGGAGACTTCACTCCTTTATCATTATTTAATGTGCCTCTTTACACCTTATAACTTTTCTTGTTCTGAAGTCTGCTTTATGTGAAATTAAAATAGCTACTCCAGCTTTTATTTGATTAGTGTCAGTATGGCATTTCTTTCTCTATATCTTAACTTTTAACTTAACTGTCTCTCTCTATAGTGTGGGTTTCTTGTAAATAACATATGTTTGGTGTATTTCTGTTAACCACTCTGGCACTGTCTGCCCTTTAGTTGGTTTCCTTAGATCATTCACATTTAAAGTGATTTACTGATATAGTTGGATTAATACTTACCATATTTGTAACTTTTCTATTCATTGCATTTTTTCTTTGTCCTCCAGATTTAATTGAGAATTTTATGTGATTGCTTTTTCTATCTTTCTTAACATATCTATTAGGCTTTTTTATTTTTTATTTTTAGTAGTTGCCCTAGAATTTACAATATACATTGTTAAGTATTCTAAGTCCATCTTCAAATAACATTATACCACTTAATTAAGTGTAGGTGTCTTATAACAGATTATTCCAAATTCCTCTCTCCTATCTATATGAGATTGTTGTCATCACCCAATACATTGTTACTATTATTATTTTTTAAATTGTCTTAATTTATTAAAATATAAAAAATGAGAGAATTTTTACCTCTTTAATTCCTTTTCCAGTGTTCTTCTTTTCCTTATGTAGATAGATGTTTCTCATTTATATCATTTTGTTTCTGCCTGAAGAACTTCTTTAACGTTTCTGGCAGAACAAGTCTGTTGGCAATAAATTCTCAGTTTTTGTTTGTCTGATTGTTTCTTTGTTTCTTCTTCATTTTTGATGAATAATTTATCTGGATATATCATTCTAGGTCAGTGGGGTTTTTTTCCTCTTATTTTTACACTTAAATAGTTCACTCCCTTCTTACTTGCATGGTTTCTGAAAAAAAAAAAAAAAAAAAAAAAGTCCTCCAAAATTTCTACTCTTGTTCCTCTATAGGTAAGATATTTTTCTCTTCTGACATTTTCCAAGATTTTTTGTGTTTGGTTTTCTGAACGCTGAAGATTATACCCCTATGTGCAATTCTTTTTGATATTTATACTACTTGTTTTTCTCTGAGTTTTCTGTATTTGTGATTTGATATTTTTATTAACCTTAGAAATCTCTTGGCAATTACCATCACAAATCTTTCTTCTGCTTTTTTCTGTTTTCTCATCTGGCATTCCAATTACGCATATCTTACACCTTTTGAAATTATACCTGAGTTTTTAGATGTTTTCTTCTGTTTTTTATTATTTTTTCTTTGCATTTCAGTAAAAGATGTTTCTGTTGATGGATCCTTAAGTTGACTGACTTTCCTGTGTTGAATCTACCAGTGAGTCCATTGAAGACATTGTTTTTTCATTTCTGTTACAGTAATATTGATTTCTTGTCTTTATTTTTATTTTTTTCTGAGAGTTTTCATCTCTCTGCTTATATTATCCATCTATTTTTACATGTTTTCTATTATGTTTCTTATTAGATTAACATATTAATCACAGTTATTTTAAGTTCCCTGTTTAATAATTATATTGCATTATATATCTGAGTTATGACTGCTTCGTCTCTTCAGGCTGTGTATTTTCCTGCTTTTTGGCATCCCTTGGAATTTTTTGTTGAATGCTGAATGTGTTGTATCAAGAATAAAAACTGCTATAAGTAGTTCTTTAGTGTGAGGATTTATGCTAATCTGTTATGAGTTGGGCTATTTTAAATATGTACTGAAGCTTAGGTGCCAAAGTCTTCAAATTTCTTTAGTGTCCTTGTTTTTGTCTCTCTTCTTGACTTTGGGCTTCCCTAAATATTCCTGCTCAGAGAGAGTCTGGGTCTTGCAGATCTTTCAGCTATACACAGTTATTATTCTCAAACCTCGTTGGTGTGGGGGTAAGGTGTGGCCAGCGTGGCGAGGAGACATTCTATCATCTTTTGACTAAATGTCCCTATTTTAGTGGGGCTGTGTCTCAGGGATGTGACCTTTTACTGTTGAATCTCCAATGGTATCACTTTTCCCCCTCTGTCCCTTATTCCCTTAATTGGTTGCAGCATTCTCTATCTATTTTCTTGAAACGTTGACCCCTGTTGGGTATGTTTTTCTCCCTTTAGGTGAGACAAGAAAGAGAAGGCTGCAGTAGGAGGTATGCCTTTCCCTAATATGGGATAAATCTCTGGTCAATTCTTTTCTCTTGGAGACTAGGCCTTTGTTATGGAGAACATGCTGGGTGTGTTTCATCATGATTACTTTTTCATTCCTCCTGCTAGAGTTATGAGGTTGATTTTTTGGATCTTTACTATAAGAACCTGTTGGAATTCTTGAAGGTAATAGCCATGAAAAGTATAGAGGTTTCCATTGAGACTGTGACATCCAGGAGTTCAGCCTCCAGCAATTGACCAAAATTACCATTTAAGTGTTTGGACCAGTTTATGGCTGCAGCGGTTTTGGCTCCATGTAACAGATCTCAGATGTGACTCTGTAGATGTCCCCATTTCTACAGATTTGGGGGTGGCAATTGTTCTGCAGTCTTAATTCTCTAATGAGTCCAAGAAAAGTAATTGATTTTTAGTTTATCCAGCTGCTGCTTCTTGTAACCATGGGAGTGATGACTTCCAAACTCTTTACATGTCAGAACTGAAACTGGGAGTCCAAGGATTATTTTTGTGTAAATGTCTTGACCAGTAAAGTTCAAGGTGAGACAGATAACTCATTCTTTCAGATATTTCTTATATCTGTAGCTCCAAAAGTTTATTAAGTGGCATCTTTCTCCTTCTACACTTACTCTAAGAAGTAGAGTTAAGAAAAAACGTCTTAACTCTGCAACAGGGAAGATTTGGGGAACAAAGAAGCTAAATCACTTGCCAAAGGTGATATAAAAGCATCACAGCAAACATAGGTACAGTACTTAACAAATATGTCAAGTGTTCCAGTTTTTTGACCCAGATTTGAGCTCTTTCTTTACTCCAACTAGGAGGGAAAAAAATGGCTCTATATTTCACTCTGTAAGTGAGAGGTAGGAACTTCTGGGCTAAGTGATCCTCCAACACCTGTGATAACTTTGACACACATAGCACCACTCATTCTAGCACATCATTTTTGCCCATATTCAAAGAACAAATGACCCAGTGCTTCTCGACTACTCCAGAAAAGCACAACAGTGAAATCTCTTAAAGCAAGGTCTTTATACATCAGGGATTTGATGAACATGTCTGTATGAAAACAGAGCTAGAAGCTTTACAATATGTATGCAGTAATACACACTGTGCATCTTACACATCGTCTAATTTCTGGAGATAGCACTTATGCATTGATTTAGGAAATTAAGTGTACAAAGTGAAGGACAAGAACCAAGCAACTTGTTTGAGGGGCAGGACAGTGTGTCTGTAGCACTGTTTTGCCATTGAAAGAGGCCATGTCAAGGTAGTTTGCAGCTCACAAGCCAAACCTGGTTTCCTAAGTCACACAGCGTTCTCCACTTAGCAAGGCTCAGCCCACTGGTCCCAAAAGTAAGATAGGGAATGTGATTTCTATTGTGATGCTGACCCAGCAGGGTGAAAAAGTGCTGACAGCACACAGCCTTGGAGCCTTAGGCAGAAGAGCAGCTTACTTGACAAGGTTCAGCAATCTAAAGTGATATGCAGGACTTGTCCTGTCTCAGCTGCTACCAGCCACAGTACAGAGTGTCAGCAAAAACAAAGGCAGATGAATCTCTTTATTTTCTATTGCTATCTTGGAAGATCCTATTAACTGCAGTCAGCTGTTGTACTAATTCTTTTAAACAGTAAGTAAAGAATATCATTAATTTATTAAAAAACCATTCCCAATTGGCAAAAAGGTGAAACAGGAGTGTGATGAGTGACATCTTTTGATTAAGAATGATTATCCAGGGAGAAAAAGGCCTTGAGTCATACATGTTATAAGTTCTGGAAAAAGTTTTTTTCAAGGAAGGCTAAATTATTAAGTAAAGAGCAAATATATATGCAAAGAAAATAAACTACTGAGAAAAAGTCATAGAAGCTGAAAATTATAGAGTGCTTTTGTATTGAATATGAAAAAAATCCATGATATGGTGACTGAAATAAAAATATAGGAGAATGCCAGGGGTAAATAATTTAAAGTATAGAGGGAATACACACACACACTCTTAGAAAAATAAAACTCATGCCCATCATTTGCTTGTTTTTTTTCCCCAGTATTCTCTGGGCAGGATGAATCTGAAGATTCATTACTCTTATAAAAACAATTATTGAATTCCTACTGTGGAAAAGGCCCTGGGGAAAGAAGTTTTATGAGTCAGTGTAAAATATCCTCTCTGCCGTAAAGATAATCCTGTCTATTTGGGATGCCATGGCTACCAAATCTGCAAATCAGAAAGCATTCAGGTTGAAATTTGTTGCCAGATGAGCAGCAGAGGCATGTGCAACAGGAAGCAGAAATTTGGTGGTGTGCAGGAAAAGATTTGACAAGTGGCTATTTTTTTTTTTTTTTTAGGTGGAGTCTCACTATGTCGCCCAGGCTGGAGTGCAATGGCACGATCTTGTAGGTTAGTCTTTATTTGTAGTATTTGCTTATTTTGGTGGTATAAATACTCCCACTGTGGCTAATTTCAAGCTGCTAATGTGATGTTGACTATCTATAAAAATCCCCCAAAATCTGCAATCAGCTGTGCAAAGCTATACAGGATTACTCTAGCAGGCCGCTGGATCAGTCATTTGAGCAGTTCTAGCTAAGAAATGCATTTTAAAGAAAATGGAAATTAGGTTGTATGTTAAAGGGAAGATAATATAAAAGTAGGTTTTGAGGTGGGGTGAAGGCTTATTAATTCCAGATAGAGAACTGGTCATGAGCCCAGACCAGACTTGGAAATGAATGTGAACAGAACAGAATGACAGGTCTGAAGAAAGGGATCTAATATAGGTGTACAGAGTGGGAAAGAAATAACCACACTCCAGATAGTGATACAAGACAAAGGTGGTGTTTTTGCTCTTTGTAATGATGTAGACTATTGAAAGTTTTAGTTGGGTCTAAGACAAGATTATAAGGTAGCAAATTATAAAGATTAGGCTAGAAGAGAGTTAATTGAAGGAGTGAATTGAGACCATAAGTAGGCTCCCCAGGAAGCATATTCTGAGATAGAGCATGCAGGTCACTTACTGGGAAGTGCTCTCAGAATCAATACCTGTTGGGAGAATGAAGAAAACAGGTTTGGGCAAGGATAGCAGTTGAACTGTAAGGCAGTCACAACAAAGACCTCTGTCAATCCTCTGGGAACTTGAGCTGGGATGACCCTGTTACCAAATGTCTCAAATTGGGGTGAGGACAGTTGGTCTTTTTATTCTGACAGCCACAGGTTATTTGATGTGAGCTGCTCCCAGAAGAATGTGACCTTCGGAGGCATTGTTCTTTAGTCAAGTACAAGTCCCAGAGAGGGACTAGCTGAGACCTGCAGACTACCAACACCCCAGGCAGCTGGGGGAATTAATTCTGCAGTCTTGAAATAGCAGATCTGGGTTGCACATCCTAGTACTACATATCTTTTTCTTAAAATACAGGTAAATTAATGAGAAACTTGTACAAGGTAGAAATGGAATTGGAAAGAAAGATACACCAGTGAGATACATTTCTAGGGCAGATTTTTATTACAATATTAATTTTTCACTTTTACAAGTTCTATTTTGTTCAAAGTAATTTTCACACTCTCTTGGTTGCTCATTTTATGATTCTGTTTTTATTTCTATTCATTATATTTTTAAACATTATGTTCCCTATCTGATATTTCAAATATCCGAAGTACTTAGTGCATGAATCTGTTGTTTATTGTTTCCCCATAGTCTCACTAATGATGGGTTATTTCATTGTGTGTTTGGTGATATTTGATGATGACGCCATGTTTACTTGAATATAATCACTGGGAACCTGGGGGCTGTTACAGAGATACCTTCCTCAGAGAGGATTTGCAATTGATCTCATCTGGTAGCCAGGTGCTCTCTGAATCTGAGGTTCTTTCCAGGAATCGAGATCAGTGCAGGTCTCTCAGGTTCAGCTACCTTTACTTGTACATTTTGACAGTGCTAGTCTTCTGTTTTGTCCAGTGTTCATTGCTATCTGGTCTCCAATCTCTTCTATGATTCAGATTAGTGTGATTTTGTTTTGTTTTGTTTCTTTTTTTTTCTTTTGAAGTGGGTAGGGATAGGAGTTTTGCTCACTTTTGGGAAATCCACTGATACCCTAAAGAATGTACTGTATGGAGGAAGTACTTGTTCTAAAGTATGAGGGTATAATGAACTATCTAGTCTATCATCCTCCTGGAAGCCAACATAGTTGGAGACATTGTCTGAGGAAGATGAAGCCTTGAAACAGGAGTTTCCAATTTCTGGATTAGAGTACTGAAATCACGATGAACTGAAATGGAAGTCGGGAGAGAAGGTCTTTTTTGAATTGTTTCAGAGGAAGGTAATGAGCTCTAATATCTTCCACTATATTCTATATATGCTATATAAAAGTTTAAATACTCCAGTGTGAACCAATGCTAAATTTATATGCAAAAGTATTTCAAATGAAAGCTAGCACAGCTTTCAGGGCAATTTGATAACCTACAAATAGTGCAAATAGATTTAATTTTAGAGTTTTTAATCATTATTTGGGGTAAGACAGCATTATATTTAGTAAGAAACACTTGAAAGAAATTTGTGATATTTCAGTGCATTGGATGTTAAAAATGTGATCAGCTGTGAATAGAAGTGGCTTAAATTAGCCAACATTAGCTACTTACATGAAGAAAGATATAAATAAAATTTCAAAATGAGACACATGTCAGAATATTTTGTATCTTATATAGGGTACTCCCAAATAAAGCAAGTTGACTTAATTTACATGAGGTGAAAGTTTAATTTTATAAACCAATTATTTGTTTAGTTATATATTAATTTGGGTCACTTTATAATATGTTTTAATATTTTTTAGGATAAAGTCTCCTCTTTCCCATTTGATTTTATTTTCCAGATTGTTTTTCTTGGCTATTATTTTTAAATTTCACATAAACTTTAGAATAAATTTGTTTAGGTTTTCCCCTCCGAAATCTTGTATTTTTGTTATTGTATTAAATTTATGAATTAACTTGGGGTGATTTATATCTTTATTATGTTTTCCTACCTGGGAACATGATATGACATGAGTTTTTCATTGATTAAATATTAGTTTATGTGTTTCAGGAGGGCTTACTACTTTGTCGTTGTTGTGTAATAGGTCTTCTGGCCAGTATAATGCTAAATTATTGTGATGGTAGTGGGCATCTTACTTTATTCCCAATTTTTCAATTTTTATAGGGAATACATCTGAGGAGCATAACTATTGTGACTGGGCTGGAATTTTTATTTATAGTTTCCTTAATACAAAGTCTAAGTTATTTTGGCTATGATACACCAACTCAGTAAAGTTTTATCCTTAGATGAAAATGATATATTTACATAATTTTATAAAAATATATGTATCTGTAAAATACTTTATAAAATAACAATAGAAATGGTAAAATAATAAAAATAATGGAATGCAACTTAATATTTACCTGGGGTATTCAAATTGTCTTTATAAACTTTGTTGAGTCTAAGGTAAAAGACATTGCATTTTGCAATGGTCCTTATTTCTCCAAATTCACTTAACATGCTACTTACATATTTTAACCATAAATATCCCCATGACGCATATATAATAGAGATTTGAAGAATGTGGCAGATCATAGTTTCTAGAAAGGTAACAATAAAATCTCCCTTTCTCATGCTATTACACAATGTGCCCCCACCCCTCCCTCATCAAAAGGTGGCGAATTTGTTTCCCATTGAATCTGGGTGGGCTTGTATTTGCTTTGATCAATAGATACTGGAAAAGTAATACCCTGTGACTTCTGATGTTAGGTCATAAAAGGCATTGCAGCTCCTGTCTTACTCATTGGAACACTTGTGCTTGGAGTCCCTAGCCACCATGTAAGGAGTCTGACTATTTTGAGGTTGCCATCATGTGAAGAAGTCTAGCCACACAGAAGGGCCATAGAGAGGTGCTCCACTAGGCAGTCTTAGTCTTCAAGTCACCCAACCCAAGCACCAGACATCTTAAGATGATTGCAGGTCCCAGCCACCAAGCTGTTTCTAGGCTTTGAATCTTTCTACCTAGGCCTCAGGGATCATGGAGCACAGACAAGCCATTCCCCACTGTGTCTAGCCCGAATTCCTGACCCACTGGAGTCCATGAACGTGGAGAATGTTGAACTTTACTGAGACCTGTTTTTCTGGAAAACGATGGCAAACAAATATTTCCACCCCTTTATGGTCTGAGAAATAGCTTACTGCAAATAACCATCCTTCCCCATGTGATGCAGATATGACTTATGGATGCTTCTCTTGTTGACCTATGACCAGGCCGGACATAGCCTCCAAATTCCCATTCTTTGTTTCATAAATGATTACCTGAACTGTTTTGTCAGTGTTAACTCAGAAATTAAACACTATAGGTGGGATTATTTTATCATAAAAATGTCTTCACTCAGATGTTTACTGGATGATGTTTTGAATAAGGTCTTTTTAGAAATTCATTAGAGTAAGGGAAATATTTCATGTTATATTCAAAATTACTTAGTTTCACTATAGTTGAGAATGGTATTGATTAATTTTGTCTAGGTTCATCTAAAGTGTTATCAATTAAATAAGGATAACATGAAATAAATTGTGTAATTAGTATGTAACAGAAACTTGACTTCTAACACTATTGATACATATTAAGCTAAAGAAGAAATACACTAATTAAGCATCGATTGTGCACCAGGTCTTTCATACCCATTACCTCATTTAACCCACAAAGCAATCCTGAGAAAATGTTTTTAATTACATTTTTATGGGTGATAAGATGCTCTTTCTCACGATAATTTAATTCATCCTTTGAAACTTTAATTCTCTGTAAAATAAAACCCAATCCTTCACGTAATAAATGAAGACAAAATCAATACTATGGAAATGAGAAAACATTTCCTTAATGTTTTCATGGCAAAGATAAGACATAACTTGATCTCATCTGCCTACATTTCTCTGGGTAACAACTAAAATTTTAGGAAGAGACAGGATTGTGGTACACACATACTTAGCTAGGTAGAGAAGAAGCGATAAGGAGTTCTAATCTGCTTTGTGCACTCATTAGTGTGATGGCCTTTGGCAAATTTTCTGTCCTCTTTGAGTTTCAGTTAGGCTGGGAGCTACCAGTTGAGTATTTGTCCCCCACAAAACTAATGCTGAAATTTAATTCCCACTGTGGCAGTATTGAGACATAGGGCCTTTAAGAGGAGATTGGATCATGACATGATTGATTTATCCATTCATGGATTAATGGGTTATCGGGGGAGGGGAGCTGGTGGCTTTATAGGAGGAAGAGAGACCTGAGCTAGCACCTTGGCATGCTCAGCCTCTTTGCCACATGATGCACTGCACCCCTACCAGCAAGAAGTTTCTCACCAGTTGTGTCCCCTTGACCTGGGACTTCTCAACCTCCATAAATACAAGAAATGAATTCCTTTTTTTTAAATAAATTACCCAGTTTCAGAGATTCTGTTATGAGCAATGGAAAACTGACTAAGATATTGTGTCCAGCTAGAAAATGGAAATGTGAATTCCTGACTACATACAATTCCTGAATATTTTAAGATTAAAATTAGACATGAGCTAAGTAGTTCTTGGAAACTGAAGTTTCCAAGTGCTCTATGAAAGCAATGCACTTAAAATTAGAACTTCGCAAAACCAATGCATGTAGAATCAGAACATGTTCATGTATATTATCTCACTTGACCCTCACTTCCAAACCAAATTGGTTGATATGATCCATCTGCTTGCAATGTTTCTCAGCTATGAATACAGAAATCTTACCCAGACTTTAAGACTCCTCAAATACCATTTAACCCAAACTTTCCCTAATCCTAATAATTGCGTGCAATTATTCCTTCCTTAAAAACACAAACAGACAAACAAAAACTTCCATGGTATTCTGCACCTTTTTTTATGACATTGTTAACATTTAGAGTTTTCTTTTCTACAAGTCGTTTCCCACTTCCAGGCTGCAAGCTCCTGGGTTGTAAAGACTGTTTATTTACAGAAGTTCCTGTACCCTGTCCTTTGGAGAGAGTGGGAAGCTCAATATGTATTTTTTGTCAATTGAATTCTATAAAACTGTATTAATATTAATAATCTTTCTCTGAGATATTGTGATAAAAACAACTTTTGATTTTGCACATAAAAATGTAGGGTAAATAATAAAATGAAGGTTAGTAAGCTTCTATGTCTAATTTATCACTGTTGTGAATAATCTCAATTAATTTGATTACATCCATAGTCCTTGACATGTTATAGTTTTTCATGTCCTTGTTAGTGAAGTTTCATCTATGCAAAGTAATTTTAAGGGTACCCTATAATCTCAGGGTGTATGAGAAATATTACTCTTTAAAGAAGATCTAAATTAAATAGATTCCTTGATATCAGTAGTATATTTTGCGCAGTTTCTATTATAGTATCTTTAGGATTATTCTCATCAAAAGAAGTGGTTAAATTCTTTTTTTTCTTGGAAGGTCTTGACAGCCTTGGGTGCCACTGGTGGATACTCTGTGGTGTGTTCTCAAACAATGTTAATTTCTTCAGCATCCAGTCAGCGTGAATTACCTGAGGACTGAATACACAACCTAGCTTTTTTTTTTTTTTTTTTTTTTTTTTTTTTGAGATGGAGTTTCGCTCTGTGGCCAGGCTGGAGTGCAGTGGCGCGATCTTGGCTCACAGCAGCCTTTGCCTCCTGGGTTCTAGCTATTCTCCTGCCCCAACCTCCTGAGTAGCTGAAACCTAGATCTTTTGATATGACTCTCATTCTTTTTATCTTTTATTTTCAGATAGAAAACTTAGAAGAAAATTAAATACATTACAATTTTAGTTGCTAATTAGATGCTGATAATAATAGAGCCTTTTTTTTTTTAATGATTGAAACTTTTTCCTCCACTGATGGCTGAGGTCTGAGGTCTCTTAACCTGTATTTAACCTAACTGATTTGTGCAGGACATGACTGACTTGTTGGCATGATGTGTCATATAACATTTTTTATGAAACTAATATAACTACAGTCCACCCACCCTGTGGTATGTGATATTTGTATATGACATTATATATATGTTTATACGCTATTAGGAACTCAGAAGGAATTCAATATTAAATATATTTTTTTCCTAAAAACGTATGTATGGGAATTATCAGGTAAAAAAATAAAGAGGGGTTGGTTATTTTATTATCCTATGTGAGTTCCTCTATGGCAATAAAAGTAGAAGTTATTTTGTAACGTGTGGAAGGATGCAAAAGCGCACATGTTACAGAGTATAGTAACACCTTCTACTGTTAGGTAAGACAATTTAGATGTTTCATTTACCCAACAAACATATGTTGAGTCCCCATCATGTTCCAGATACTATGCAGTTTTCTGGGGACACAACACTGAACAAAACAGATGTAGTTCTTCCCCTCATGGAGCCTATAATGTAGTTGGGCATTAGTTTCTTCATGAAAGTGATAATTTTTGCAATTTAAGAAGAAATAAACTGCAATCTTTCATCTCTTATGATAGTATGTAAGTTCCATGAGGGCAGAATCTTTGCTTTTTGATCACTGACTTATCCCAAGTGCCTAGAACAGTGTTTGACACACATTAGTTTCTCAATAAATATTTGTTGAATGATAGATAAATAAGTACTATCAACAAATGCTTCATTTGTTTAAATTTCTCTTATGTGTTCAGCATCTTATGGGACCACACAGATGTCACTGGGTGGGGGTGGGAGGTTGGTACAATTTTATCACATGAACAGTAGGAAATTATATTTTCTTGACTTGAGCTCTCATCTGCATAAGCCAAACCTTCCAGTGTCCCTCAAAATTTTCCTCATCTTTTGGAAATTCCTCAGAGTATTTCTCAACATGGACAAGTGTACAGTTACCACCCACATCTGGCTGATTTTTCCCTTCAGGTCCCAGTTCTGCTCGTCAGCATCTTCCAGCAATGAAGCTGCTGGAGGTGCTCATCATTGACCTCACTGCTGGGTAATGGGTCTCCATCAGGACAGTGATGTGGTTTGTGCCAAGCACACCATCTCTTTCTGTTTCTGAAATGCATTCTCATTTTCCCCAATCTGTTTCACCCCAGGAACTCTGAAGTGATGCTGCTTATGCTCTGTGTCTCTGAACCCCCTTTTAAGAAGAACATCTGCAAGCAGTTCTCTCTCCACAGAGCTCTAACATAAGTTGCTAAGTCTGGGAGAAGGCACAGATAGTCCTTGCTGCTCTCTCGCATTCTTTTTCTTCCTTATGTAGACTGATACTCAGAAATGGTGGACTCAGCATGGCCCAAGCTTAAGCCTCCACTATAGAACTAATTTGGTAGCAACATGAGATTCAAAGACTAAAGAAATTGTGCAGTACTGCAACACTAGAACATGACAGGGAACTCTGTTGTTCCCATCATAGAGATAGCAGCTTCGACTCTAAATCCTGTTATTAGATCTGAACATCTCAAAACAAATTTTTTTTTCCTAACTGTAGAAAACTAAGCATTCATATCCTCAAATAAGCAAACTACCTTCATGGATGAAGATAATGTAAACAGGAGCATACATTTGTAGATTCTAGCTGCATGTTATTCTATTAAAAGTTAGGTTGAATAAAACTGGTAAGAATTTATTAGGCATTTACTTGTGCCTGGCACTGTTGATCATAAAGGTAGAAGATAAAGTTTTTGTTAAGCCGAAAATTTGCGTCTTTTTTTTGGAAAAGGGAGAACTCCCAAATTAAAAGCAGATATTAGTAGATTGTACAGCTACATATGTGGTATGATTTTTGAGTTTTTAAGAAGATTCTCTGAACCTCTCAATTCCTTACTCTGTATGCTTATCCAGGAAACTGTATTAGGAGAGATGCATTTTTTATTTTTCAGTCAGTTCAATGCAAGGAATGATCACATTCAACTTTTCCTTAAAGGAGGTTTTCATGGGTTTGTCACAAAGAGGGCTGGAGCAATTACCATCAGCACACAGGTTTTCTGAAAAGATGAAGGGGAGGAGAAGGGTAAAGTTGAGTAGGTTGATGGCAAGCTGTGGTTACCACACAAATTCAGTAAAAATTATTTCAATAAGGATTATATCTAAACCATACAAACATTAAATCAAGAATTAACATCATGAAATAGAGGCCCTACTGAACCAGAAACCAAAAGACCTTAGAATAAAAATATTTTATTTCTGACTTTGATCCTTATTGGCTATGTGATCTTGGACAAGTCATTGAAACTTTGTAGGCTTTCTCATTCTTATGTGTAAAATGAGGAGGCCTCCTAGTCCAGTTCTAAATCCTTGTGATTCAAATGGCTGGGTTGTGTGGACAGACCTGGAGAAAAAGCAGTGTTGGTTGGAACTGTAAGTTTTGTGGGGAAGATAAGTCTAGAGTTGGACCATCAATTTAGTCAGGAACTAAATTGTTGGAAAGAGAAGGGGAAGGAATTCTAGTAAGAAGGACATGAAGGCTAGAATAAAATGCAAATTGTGGATCTCAAAAAAAGCGAGCCGACTGACAGAAGGTCAGATTGGTTGTAAGAACCTCATGTACTAAATTTCCTAGAATGATCTTTGTGGTTCCAATCACAATTAGTCTTCTGCAGTTGTGTCGTGAAATATTAAATCCCTATTTTCTTTGCTATTGCTCCTATGTGCCAGGTCTTTAATTCCTTTAAAATGCTCAGCCTACCTGTAAATTTGTTTCAATTACAAATATCTTGATTATTATTATTCTAGTTTCAGTGACTGAGGCATTCTTTCTCCTGTACAAAGCCAAGGATCTTTAATAGCTTCTCACTTTTTTGCAGCAAGGAATCTTAACTTGGGAAGGGACTTTGGGTCACATTGTATTCTGTGCATGTATATTTTTCTCCTCTTTCCTAGGTCAGGCTACGTTTTTCTCATCTCTTCTCTCATAATATCCTTCCATACCTCTATTGTTTTGCTGATATTTATATATCTACCTATGTGTCTTCTCACCAAACTCTTGAGCTTCTTCAGAACAGATTTGTTTGTTTAAATCTGTAGATTTAACATAGTGAACAGCACATTGACACATGTGGGTGAATGAATAAGTTACCTGTTGCTAAGCTATATGCCCCATGTTTGAATAGAAAATGTGATCTTGATGTTGGGAATTGAAGGAACTTTTGAACCCAGGTATATTTTAATACAATCCTGCCTTCTAGTTATTTCCTTAATATTCTTTGGAATCCAGCTAAATCTCTTAGTGACTGAGAAAAATGTGAAGCTCTATTAGTAAAGAGAAAATATTCAGACCTAAAAGACCTCAAATAGAAGATCAATAGGCTATGAAGGCAATTATCTAATTCATCTGGGTCACCCTCACCTTTATTGCTAGAACTGGCTTTATTTCAATGCAGCCATAAAACTGGTGGGTTATTAGCAAGAAAACAGGCAAGCAGTTCTTCCACTATAGCTATAGTTAAGAACAATTATGTTATTAAATTCATGGATACCAAAGAGATTAATAGACTTTTCAAGGAGTTTTATGGACGATTATATATGAATGATAACTGCACTATGTGTTAAGGGAAAAGCCCATATATCTGCATTTCCTTAAATGTGAACAAATTTTGGAAGGAAAAGAAACCTTCTTGAATAAAGCTATTCTTCCTACTTGAAACTGCCAAAGTCCTAAAAAAGATTAGGTAAGGTCAGAATGCAGCCAGCTCCATTAATACTTTGCATTAAAGGTTTCATTAATCTTTTATAGATTGTATGATAATAAGACTATTTTATCTCAAATGATCCTGGCCTGGATTTTGCTTGACACGTGTTTTATTAAGTGCTCTTATCTGCCGTCTTAATAATACAGAGCTAGTATTAAAAGTTTTTGTTAAATCACATTTTTCCATGCAATTCCCCATTTGCTGAAGTTGAAAGTGTTTTATCGTTACTTTATTAATATGTGCTGTCTTTCTCTGCTGGAGATGTATAGATAGTATTTCTCTTTCTATTATCCTAGCATGTCCTCCTACTGTGCATTATTTCTGCTTGTTTCTTCCCAAGACAGTGTCTAGTAGAGGCAGGTTGAAGACTTTTTTTGTTGGGTGTGGGGAGCTACTCAACACTGATTACTCACCTAAAGGAAAATTAAGGGAATCATAGAATCCATAGAGAATTGTCTAAAAAAGAAATATACTGTTACCCATTTTACAAAGTGATAAAAAATTTTAAATTTTTCATGTATAGGCTTTATGTTTTTGAAAACAAATTGGATTTTTTTTGGAAGGCACATTTTGTAAACTGTAAATAGGGTAAAAGTATTAATACAGTCAGTGGGGCAGTTTGAGTGGTTTTGAGTGATTGTTGTATTTAAGACTTCACCTCCCTATAGGGTAGAATCATCAGCTTTTAAGGGAGTGTTTAGGTCCCAAGGAACTGATTCACTTTTCAAATTCAAAAGATTGATCTTATAAACCATTATGACTATTAATTTGTAATATGTGATATAACATTACTGAGCAGAATATGAAGAAATACGTAATAATGCACATTGTCTAGAATATTGCATGAAATAATATATATAAAACACCTTAGTAGAATCCTTGACATTTAAAGAGTACGTAAGAAATGTTAGCTGCTTCTGAAGTAACAAGGTGCCTAGGGAAAGGACTTTAATATCATGAGGTTGTGTTTGAGGTGAGTACCTATTTTGAGGAATCCATGAAGGACCCTGTTCTAATTCAGGTCACAAATCACCACAATATGAAGGACAATTAAAAACACTGTTGATATAGTGCCTTTAAAATTACAGAATATTTTCACGTATATTAACACTGTTCTGATGATAAGAATATCATGTAAATTAGCTACTCAATATCTCTCTTTTGGGCAGTGTTATATAAACATTGATAAAATTTTTGCTCCCAATTCTCATCATTGCAACATACAAGGAAATATTTCTGTGTTTTTTTGTTCTTTTTTATTTCTTACTTTCTGTGAAATTGTTAGAGTGTTGGAAATTTTATTCTCAGTAGTAAATTATTTTCAATTTCAAATAATGTGTTACTTTTGGGAACTTTTCTATTGATGGCCAAACATATTCATGGGCCATGCATTCTTTTTTGCTTCAGTCATATGTAGAAACACCACCTAATTTTCCGAGCCCCTTTCCTTTCTCCCGACCTTCTCTTTAGATTGGGGATAAAAGTTTGCTTTTGGTTCAGAACTCTTTCATCATTCCTCCAGAAAACACTTATTTACCACCTATCTGCCTCTGGACAATCCAGAAGCAAGAAAAATAAAACATTTATACCTTACAGATACAGCCATGCCCAATCTCTGCACCAGAGGAAAACAACAGTGCCTGATTTTATATTAGGAGCTCCATCTTCATTAGCAAAGTGAGTTTTGAAGAAGTCAGTTGTTGTATGTCACTACCCCTTGCTCTCTTCTGAAAATAGGTGGGATATACCTGTTTAATCTTCCCCTCATATAATAGACTATCTGCTCAGGCTTCTTATTCCATTTGGATGTAAGGATGTATACTGACTCCCTTTCATCCAATTCCTGCTATCAATTTTATTTCCTCTTTAAGGAAATGGGTCTGGAACTTTCCTGACTCATACGTTGGCCACCTGCCTGAAGCTGATAACTGACTCCAAAAGCTCTACTGCACAACCCTGTCTCACATCAGATCCAGCAACCATTGGTGCCAGCCCATACTGGGACAAGGTTCACCTAGCATTTTTAAAACTTATCAATATGAACTGCTGCTCCTTTATAAAGAGGATCCATCCTATTCCATTTTCCTAAATCCTGTCTAACCTGGCCCATGCAAGCTTTAGACTCTACATTGCTAGGGCCCTGGGGAAGCTTTGTTGTATGCTGTCTGCTGACCTAGGACAATAGCACTCATGTTCTCCAAGTTTTTCTTTTCATTTATGCATAACTCTCTACCTCACTGTCACACAGAATCTGTGCTATCGACTAACTGGAAGACACCATATTTTCTTCAACATCAGCTTGCTTTCTTCTATTAACTAAATTTTTCGTGCTAGCTCTGCTAGCTCTGGTATGTGATTTTACTCTGAGAAATGAAATTTCAATTCAATCTGGTGTAATGTTTATTGTCATGTTTTAAACAGAGACTCTTAGGAAATTTTCCCTTATACCACTTTCTCTAAGCAATGTGACAGAAACATAATCAGAGTAGATAATCATTATAAAATTATGTTTCCCTACAAATGCAAATAAAGCCTTTTCAAATTTCAAGATCTTTTCTGGTTAACCCTATTTAAGACTAGATAGTTTAAGGAAACTGTTGCAATTATATATCTAAGTCTCAAATTTTAAGAGATTAATTGCTCATTTAATCTCAAAGCTTCTAAGTGAAATAAAACCCTTGGGTAGAACAAGCTAATCATACAATTCTAAAAGATTGTAAAATGTAGAGCACATAATAATTATTCAAGCTGTTTTTTCATGAGCCAAATTCCAAGGCCCAGCCTGGGATTCTGAGCCAGCAGCTCAGAGCGGGACCCTAGAATCTGCCTATTTTACAAGTACCTCTGGAGACCTGATGCAGAAGGTTCTGGAAACCTCACTTATAGAAACTGTGCCCAAGAGTGTGTGGATGGTAGAGGAAGAGAAAGCAAGACAATCTTTGCTCTGGGGCAGACTGTTTGAGAGGGAGTGGAATGTTTTCAGAGGTCAGTTCTCTGGCCGGCTCTCACGTTCTCTGGTCTGAGTCTCAGGGAAAGTGGAAATGAAAGATGGCTTTCACATTCTGTATTTGGAGAAAATTTTGCCCTGCAGCTTAACATTTGGGATAATTGTGACAGAGTGTGGCATAAAGTCATTTGAAGGGTGAGGAGGGAGTGTTTCTCCCCTTATCAGTGGGCTGGTTTCTGTGTCTTAGGATACTGGCACAGTGTGACATCAGCACCAGCAGCAGGAGGGCCACTGAAAAGTGACTTTGCTGAGGCGTGTTCTCTTTTTCTGATTGCCAGAGCAGAAAGAGTAGAAAGAGTCCAACACTATGTTGAGGATTGAAAGTATTTAATGGTTTCCAGAAGTGTTGTGAAGATTTCCTTGACAGGGAAGGGAGGAGCATGAGTTTGGGGGCCCACAACTGGATGAGTTAGAGTTGGACAAACGTTATGCACACCTTAGCCTATTGAGCATTGTGTTTTCTAAGACTATATATATCACTTCCACAATGGCATGCTTTTAGACTAACTCAAATTAGGGCAGCATGCATTTGAAGCTGTGAGAATGTTAGCATTTTTTAGCACATTTGTGACAACAATTTCTATATACAAAGTGATTTTCTCACCTAGCTTAGGTGATTCCTACAGATGCTTTATAATAGATGTAACATAAATGTTAGGAAAATTCAAATCCTTTACACCTTTACCTAATTCATTCAGATATTTATATGATTATAACATTGAATAAACCCAAAGCTATGTGTATTAGTCTGTTTTCACACTGCCAATAAAGACATACCCAAGACTGGGAAGAAAAAGAGGTTTAATGGACTTACAGTTCCACTTGGCTAGGGAGGGCTCACAATCATGGCAGAAGACGAAAGGTACTTCTTACATGGCAGTGGCAAGAGAAAGAATGAAAGCCAAGTGAAACAGGATTCCCCTTATCAACTATCAGATCTCATGAGACTTATTCACTACCACAAGAACACTAGGGGAGAAACTGCCCCCATGATTCGATTATCTCCCTCCGGGTCCCTCCCACAACATGTGGGAATTATGGGAGTACAATTCAAGATGAGATTTGGGTTGGGCCACAGAGCCAAACCATATCATTATGTAGATTGAGTTTGTTTTTTACAAATAACTGACTTAGGTCTATGTGTGGACATGGCTTCTTTGCCCTCTGTTGTCATTCTGTGGCTGTACATCTCTTCTGCTAGAATGTAGTGGGGAAGCAGTTGTCATATCATTTCCCTTAAATCTGTGCTTCTCAAAGTGCACTCTGTAGACCACCTCATCACAATTCCCAAGGAAGCTTCTTAAGTATGGGAATTCCTGGGATCTGTCACATTTCTGGATGAGATTCTCTGGGGATAAGGGTGGGAATTTACGCTTTTAATATTCTACCAACTGAATCATGCATCCTAAAGTTGAGAAAAATAATCTCAAATGAAAATCAGGTGGAAATAAAATAAAAATCTCTAATGCTTATATATCATCTTATGCTTCCTAAAGTACTTTCACATGTACAAATGCATTTAATCCTCATGATATACGAGTGTGGTAGGTAGTATCATCTCCATTTCACTGATGATGAAACTTATCAGTGATTGGTGGACTGCCTAGCCCAAAGTAGTAACCAAAATCTTTCTCAAATTTTCTCTGAATCTTAGGGAAAAACAATTTCTTTATTCATTGTTTCATTATTTATTTTTAAATTCATCCATCCATTCGTCCACTCACCCACCCATCCTTTCCTTTATCTGTCTACCTATCCACTTCTTCAATAAGTATTCACTGAAGATGTACCATGTACCATGTGTCAGGAAATCTGTCATGTGCTACAGGTACAAAGATAAATATGATTCAACCTCATCTTCAAGGAGTTTATAGTCTAGATAATGATGGAGTGTAGTGATACAGGTGGAGTTGAAAACAAATAAGGACAAAAAAATAAAGTCTAATTGCTTGCTTCATTGAGTGTGTTAGTGGGGGACACTGTATGGTCTAATGGAGTCTGTTTTTCACCACTCCCTCTTCTTGTCCCTGCCCCCATCGTGTGTAAGTGCTGGGATCTTCCCCTTTTGTATCACTGTCACCTCTTTAGATATGGAAGGACATCCTCATTACAAGGACCTGAGGAGTATATCCTGGGCTTCAATTTATCAGATGTGGCCAGACATAAATAAAGCTTATTATTGCTGGACAATCCTCAGGCAACTTGCTATTGGCTGACCTTCCTGGATGACAATGACAAGAGAAGCAATCATTGCTTCTTAGCACAGGTGACATCTGGCTACTGTATGTACTGCAGGTCCTGAATCAGCTATTGCATGATTCCCTGTTGCTAGTAGTAGCTAGTTTCACCAGGCAGAGAACCTGCAGCCTCTCCATGCCAACTCTTCTGCCTCCTTCATGTGCTCTCTGTTCTCTCTACCACCTGCGTCTGGTGAAGTCAATTATTTCCTTTAGATGCAGATCATCTTCTATTTTCCCCAATCTATTAAACTAGGTCAGGCCATGGAGTCTTGCTGGCATTTGCAGATGGGCAAGAATATTGTCTTGTTCTTGAAGTAGCAAGGAAGCAAGCTGATTTTACATTTATAATTCAACCTTATTAGTTAAATTAAGAAAGTAAACTTTGTACTATTTCTTTTTAACCTTAAAATATATACAAAACAAGTTCCCCTAGGTTTTTTTTTTTTTTGTCAAAAAAGATACATCTTTTCTGAATGTGGCACAAGTGCTAGACAGAATGATGATGATGGAAGTAGTTTCAAAGAAATTAAGACCACACAAATTCGTACTATGTCTATGTGGAAGTATAATCGCTCATATAGAATTAGTTTTGTAACTAAATTTGGTAGCAAAGTGATAAACCACTAAGTATTATATGTGGAGTGGTACTGGCTGATGAAGAAATGAAACTTCCAGAACTGAAATGGCATTTACATATAAAATAAGTTGAAAAGCAGAATTCCTTGAAAAAGAAGAGATTGAATAAAAAGCCAACAGAATCAAATGTCACGTGTAAACAGTTTCATATGTCACATGTAAGCAGTGATTTGTGGGCTTCTTTTAAAGTATACTCTTATATTTGGAAGAATACAAGACCAGTGAAGGATGTTTGCTTGCAGATGTTGGCACATCTATAGCAAAGAAGGTAGTTCAAGTACTACTTTCCAAGGACACCATAAATCAATATATTCAAGACCTTGCTAATAATATGGAAAGCCAACACATAGAACAAATAAAGCTGTCAAATATGTTACCAAAACTTCATTATTTCACAGTTATTGCTAATATGGCAATTCTTTTACTATATATGCAATGTAAACATTATGGTGATATGAAGAAATAATTCTTTTTTCTACTTATTGCTAATAAATCAACTAGCTCTGAAATGTATAAAACAAAGTTGAATTGCATTGTTAGCAAATCTATTTTGAAGTTTAAGTTTTATGGGGAAATGTATTCTGATAGAAGAGCTGAAATGTCATGAAAACATCCTGGAATAGTTACTCACACTAAAGAGCTTTGCTGGAATATAAATCAATGTGATGCTTCCTTTATCAAGAAAGTCTTACTATAAACAAGAAAAAGTCTTTACTATAAACAAGATTGCCAGGTGCACCTATAAACCCAGCATTTTGAGAGGCCAAGGTAGGTGGATGGCTTGAGCCCAGGAGTTTGAGACAAGCCTGGGTGATATAGGGAGGCCCCATCTCTACGAAAAAATTTTAAAATTAGCCATGTGTGGTGGAGTGCACCTGAAGTCTCGCTACTTGGGAGGCTAAAGTGGGAGGATCACTTGAGCCTGGGAGGTGGAGGTTGCAGTGAGCTGAGGTTGTGTTACTGCACTCCAGCCTGGGCAACAGAGCCAGACCCTGTTTAAAATAGACAAAAACAAAAACAAAAACAAAAAACCAACAGCCGAACTAAATAGTTTGCTTAGTGACATAATAAAAAGTGCACTAAATTAGATACCATTTCTTTATTATGTGATAATATGAAAGTCAGTCATAGCCAACTGTTATTGAATGCTGAGGTGCTATGGTTATCAAGGGGAAAAGTTATTTCAAGAATGTACGACTACAAAGTAAACTTCTAGTGATTCTGCTAAGTTAACTGTGTTTTCGACTTTAAAATAATTTTAATTTGGCATTTGGACTTGCTTATTTTTCTGATGTATCTTGTAATTTTAATGATTTTGATACTTAAATGCAAGGAAAGAAGGCAACTTTTTAAAATGGCAGATAAGATTGAAGAGCAAATATGAAAATTTAGAAACTAACAGAAACAGTTTCTACAGATCATTACAACATATTCCAGCTTTCAATGGTATAAATAATGATCTTGATATTGCACATCTATGAAAAGTTATAACTAAAAACCTTACAAATTTGATAAGACAATTTGAATTATCTTTTTCTTTTTTCTATTTTTTTTGAGACGGAGACTCACTCAGTCTGTTTCCCAGGCTGGACTGCAGTGGCACAATCTTGGCTCACTGCAACCTCTGCCTCCTGGGTTCAAGCGGTTCTGCCTCAGCCTCCCGAGTAGATGAGATTATAGGTGTGCACCAACATGCCAGGTGGTGGCATGGTGTATTTTTAGTAGAGAAGGGGTTTCACCATGTTGGCCAGCTGGTCTCGAACTCCTGACCTCAATTGTTCTGCCCATCTTGGCCTCCCAAAGTACTGGAATTACAGGACTGAGCCACTGCACCTGGGCTGAATTTTATTTTTCTTCAAAAGAAGAACAACACATAAAAATTACAAACCCAGAATCCAATTTTTTCACTAAAAGATAATTCAAATTAAACCTTGCTGCTATAAAGACATATGCACATGTATGTTTCTTGCGGCACTATTCACAATAGCAAAGACTTAGAACCAACCCAAATGTCCAACAATGATAGTCTGGATTAAGAAAACGTGGCACATATACACCATGGAATACTGTGCAGCCATAAAAAATGATGAGTTCATGTCCTTTGTGGGGACATGGATGAAGCTGGAAACCATTATTCTCAGCAAACTGTCACAAGGACAAAAAATCAAACACCACATGTTCTCACTCATAGGTGGGAATTGAACAGTGAGAACACATGGACACAGGAAGGGGAACATCACACACCGGGGCCTGTTGTGGGGAGAGGGGAGGGGGGAGGGATAGCATTAGGAGGTATACCTAATGTTAAATGACGAGTTAATGGGTGCAGCACAGCAACATGGCACATGTATACATATGTAACAAACCTGCATGTTGTGCACATGTACCCTAAAACTTAAAGTATAATAACAAAAACAAACCTTAACTTTATAGGATAAATTATTGGGACTGGCTACAATGAAGCATTGATGATGAATTTTGTAAACACAATACTTCTTTATTTTGAATAAGAGTTAAAAATAAAGACTTGCTTTATTCAGACTTGCTTTAAAATCTCTTCCCAATATGTTTATTAATATTCCTCTAAAATGCTGGTTTCTCTACTCTGAGAGCTATTAAAACAAATCATAGGAACAATTTAGAAATACATTAGCCCCTACAGTAGCACTGATGTTAATCCAACTTAGGTAGGTAAACATTCAAGGATCAAACTCATTCACATTTGAAACTTTAAAGATTGATTAGCAAAGTGTTTATTCGAATTGTGCATATAGGCATTTACTATGAGGAATCACTGTTTCACATGTGACTTTTTATGTAGTTACAACTGTGAAGTGCAACATTTTCTGAGTGTGATAGTGAGCTACATTATTTGCCTGTAGGATTACTTTCAATCAATGCATCAGTTTTATTTTCTCTATGTTGTATTTCTTCTTATTATGTTTATTGAAATGTAATGTCTGTTGAGTTTAATAATAAAAATACATGTGGATTTTGTTCTGTATATATTTTAGATTTTATTTTTCTAATAAGTTATGTATATTTATTTATAAAACTATTGGTATGTGACAGATTTCAAAACTCATTAGAGTGAGTTATTCACATCAGATAGTTTGAGAAGCACAGAGAAGGCAAAGAAAACGACCACAGAAAAGGACAACAGAAAAATTAGCAAATAGGCAATTTACAGAAAAAGAAACCAAAATTCTAACCCACATCGAAAGAGATACTCCAACTTACTAATAATCAGTGGAATGCAAATTAAAATAATCATTGAATATACTTTATATGTATTATAGTGGCAGAAGTCAGAAAGCTAAATTATACCAGTTGATGGCAATGATATGAGGATACAGGAACCTTTATATACTGCCAGTGGAAATATGGACTGGGTACAGCTATTCTAGAAAGCAATTTCATACCACTTAGTAAACTGTTTACATACACATTGACTCTGCAGTTCTGTTCCTGAATAAAAATCCCAAAGAAATTGCCACATTGGTTTATAACGAAGACATTTCCTATATTTTGTCTCAGATTCTATTGCCCTCGTGGGTGTCCAGGGCCTCTGGTCACTGTCCTGCACCAACAACTTCCCTTGCAACTTATGTGGGATTTATACCCATGACTGCAGTAAATGATTCTGTAGGCCTTCTTAGTTCAGCCATCAGAGGTCACCAGGATTTCCGAGTCTTCCCACTACTGCAGGGCTCAGAGGGAGGTTCATTTCCAATTAACTGATTTAGTAGATTGGTTGCCTTTTACCCCAGTACCTACTCTTTCCCCTTTCCCCATAGGCAACATTTCCCATGTACTTAATATCCATTTATTGTCTGTATTTATGTTCCTGTACAATCTGTATTGTTTTAAATATCTATAATTAAGTAGCAAATTACTAATCCAGGGGATCTCAAGGCTCTGTCCTGAATCTCAGGAAGCTTCTTAGGCTGTAATGGAAATCCTGAATCCTTCATCCTTTGACAAGTTATCTCCTCTATTTAGCCTCTAAAATTATTCTCCAATCTCTGATCTTAATTAAGCAATTTAATCTTTGGTAATTTAATCCCCACTTTCCCCTAATTTGTTAACATATTTCTGTTTCTTAACCTCTCCTTTCATGTTTATATGAACTTCTAAAACTATGTGTTGATACAAAACTACCATTCTTAAGGATCTTTGTAACATGTAACATACATAAAATGCACAGAAAGACAAATCCCACATGATCTCACTCATACATAGAATCTAAAAATTTGATCTCACAAAAGTCGAGAGTAGAATTGTGGTTACCGGAGTCTGGGGTAAGAAAGAGGATATGGGGAGATTTTGGTCAAAGGATATATAACTACAGTTATATAGGAGGACTATTAAAACAAATGTTCAGAATAGGCAAATAGACACAGAAAGTAGAGAAGTGATTGCCTGGGGCCAGGGAAGGAAGGGAAGAATGCGTGAGTTGAGAGTCATTGGGAATAACTACTAATGGTTATGAAGTTTCCTTTTTGGGTGATCAAGATGTTCTAAATTCAATTGTGGTGATGGATGCAGAACTCTGTGAATACCATTGGATTGTACATGGTAAATGTCTTTATTACATGATATGGGAATTATATGTCAATAAAGTTGTTAAAAATAATAATATAGTGAATATGTTAGTAATTGCCAACAAAAACTGAAAATTAAAAAAAAACTAAAATAGGAAAAAAGGTGGTTTCAAGTTCAATATACAAAAATCATCTGCCTTTCCATATACCAGCAAGTAAAGAAAAATAGAAAAGGAAAAATTTAAACAATATCATTTTTAAAAGGATTTAAAAAGACAAAAAATATGAATACATTTAACATTCTGTTCTCTGGGGGAATATATAGTATACATAATATATATTATTTATATTTATATATTTATTATTTATACATATATAATGGCGATTTGCTCTATAGCAAAATAGTAGCATAGTTAAGGCACATATAACTGGAGAGAAGATTATGTTAAAACATTCTGTAGTCAATATACATACGTGAAATACTTGGAGCAATAATGTAACTGCAAAGGCAAAACTGACCTTACTAGTTGTTCCAATTCTGCCATTGGAATTCAGCATCCTTTTAGCTTTTCCTTTCCTTCAGTGTCATCTGTGCTCTGTGCTACTCATCCTCTGGTCTTATTTTTCATTGATATTTCCTCTTATATGGCTCAGAACACACAAAAGAAGATTAGTGGCTTTTTAAGGTCCCTCTCTGCCCTAAGATTCTATGAGTCTGTGATTGCTATGTATCGGTGAATAACAACTGGAATAAAGTTGGTTTACAAGAAAAAACAACTCAGAAGAACACAACAGATAAAAAAAGCTTTTTCATGCTGAAATGACTCCAAGTCACCAGAGACTGTAGCAAATCATTTTGGAGAAAATGACTTAGAGAAAAAAGTCAAAGGAATTGTATTGTTCAGTTCAAAAAAAATATTGTTCAATTTTTTCAGTGTTTAGTTAGCAAAGTTGGTATGGGAACAAACATCAAGAAAAATTAGTAAATGCCTTGTCCACTTCTCTTTTTTGAAAACTCTTTTTCTTTATTTTTTTAGTGTGAATTTTTCTTTTTCATCAACAGACTCCATGAAATTATGCTGCAAATTTATGTAAATAGGTCTTATATCTAATGAAAAATATTCCAATGCTTTGTGCTAGTAGATTCTATCACAGAAAAACCACTAGCACCCAGGTTGAGTTATATAATGTGATGTGTTAAAATGCAAGTAATGTCTTTCTCCAATACGTTGTTTCTCTGCTATTCTTTCCTTTTAGTTTTTGTTTTTATTTTCAAAAAGCATCTTTTCCCTAAATGGACTCTGATATCACATCAGTGTGAAGAAATAGTGCATATCCTGTTGATGGAAGGCTATTCTTATGCCAGCCTGTTGGGAAATACCCTCTGACCTGTCACTCTTCTCTGTAAAACTGAGACTAATTTAAAGATAAATTGTCCAGAGTTACTGTGAAGCAGAAGCAAAGATAAAGTTAATGGGAATGTGATTCGATTTATAAAAATCTGATTTACCCACAACTTTTCAGTCGCACATTTATAACATCAAATGAGGAACATCTGTACTAAAGGAAACAACAAATTCTTTTGAGCTTTCATTATGAAAAGAAATCAAATTGTGAGGAAAGACAAGATATATAGGCAATTACTCAATATCAACATGGCTGACATGTTCAACTATAGCTGGTTAGAAAAAATAATTAAATTCCTTGAACCATAAGCTTGTTCTCTTTTTTTATCTCAATACTGACTGAGGGAAATAGAATAGTGATTGGTATATTGTGAAGTAAGACAGGAACATCATGCATTTTAAAAGAGCTATGATGGTGAGTGTTATACTTGACTATTTGATAACAGCCTCTTAAACAGAGACAGTTTATAAGCATCCTGTGCTCTCTTGCAATTTGCAGATTCCCTCCAGTTACTTGTAATCATTTGACTTTCTTGCAAATAGGTTGAGATAGAAGTGACTTCTGGGCCAACACATTTACAAACAGGTGTAAGCTCTCTACTCTCTACCTTTCTCTGTCACAGTGGAATCTTCATCTGCCAGGATTGCTGAAAGAGTACATGGAACTGAAGCTTCACTGACCTGCACTGATGTGTGGATGAATCAGAAATAAACCCTTTTTTGGTATTAAGCCACTTAAGTTTGGGGGTTAATTTGCTACTGTAGCATAAACCAATGTGTATTGATGAATATGACTTCATAGATGTTGCTAATTTAGTTTTCAGACTAATTTTATTGCTCTACCATCTTTTCAAGCATTTCATTTTACTCTTTGAAAACAGAAATGTCTTAGGGAGGTAAAGTGAGTAGAAGATAAATTCTCATTGTTCCTAAATTTTCACTCCATTTTAAAGCTTTTGTTTTTGTTCTAGAAATGGTTTAATAGGATCATATTCAATACCACTACATATAGGTAAAAACATGAAGGCTTGTGCTAGGGCACTACTTTTACCAGTACTTTCATCAATTGACTATTTTATATCTATAGGTAGAAACATCTTTCAATCAAATCAGTCCATGTGCTCCAGGGTTGATATTAAATTTACAAAACAGATATATACACAAATGCTTAAAATGATCTGACAGTTTATAAACAGGCACTAGGTTGTTAACTTCAAGCCAAGTGAGAGAATATATAGTCCTGCTAAGTTTTTTTTTCAAATGCTCTAGGAAGCATACATACTGTTCAAATGTGAATTTTTATTCTGCTCTTGATAGGTGCTAGAATTTAGGAAGTGATCGTAAACACAACATTTATTATGAAAGGCAAATTTTTACACAATAATTTCAAATGCAGATGCAATGTGCTTGCATTTGCTAATGTTAGGTTGCAAATTGTGCATTTAATTCATTAATTAACAAATACTTAATGAAATTATCAAGATTATTATTGTTTGAAATTATCATTAAATTATTATCAGGGATTTATGTGCAATGATTCTTTCAATTCCACAGCAGCCATATGAGAGATTTACTGTCATTAGCTCTAATATCAAATGAGCTTGAGAAGCAGTAGAAGGAGTAGTAACTTGCTTGAGGCCACGTGGCTAGGGAGAGATGTAGTCAGGCTCTGAATACAGGATGCCTAGTTCCAGAGTCTTCCCTCTCAAGCCCTACATTTTACTAAATCTATTACTACTTGTACTAAATCTACTACTACTTGTTAGTATTGTGTTAAGCACTTCATGGATGATATTTCAATTATATCACTGTAACTATAAGGTATGTATTAATATCTTAATTTTTAAAGGTAAGAATACAGGAAAGAAAATAAATGTTGAGTAAATGGACCAAAATCCCACTGCAAATCAGTGATGCTGGGATTTGACTCCAGACCATGCTTAAAGAGAAATAAGTTTGATTTCCAAATGATGGGGTAAACAAAACAATGGTTCTAAAAAATAGACACATGATACAGTGCAAGATCCTGTACAAATGATAAATGTGGCAAAGCCTCCATGGCCCTCTAATATAAAACAGAATAGTCTTCATTCACTTTTTTAGTAGGGTTGTTAGATTTAGGAAACACAAACAAACACATACACACACACAGGACTGTCAGTTAAATTTGAATTTTGGATAAACAATTAATTTTTTAAATATTGATAGAGACAGGAGGCAGAGAAACTTTAGACAGACAGGGGTGGGTCCCTGGCAAAACCTCACCTTCAAACTGAAAAGCCTGAAAACAGCGGCCCAAAGTGAGAACTTCTATCCTTGTGTGCCTGCTGTCTCCTGATTGATTCTTTCTGAATGATGTCATTTTACCAGTTGATTTTTGCCTTTTCCAAAACTACCTGTGACCCACCCTTATCCCATCCTGTGCCTATAAAGACCCCAGACTCAGCCAGTAGAGAGAAGTGGCTGGACATCAGGGAGAGGTGACTTGACTTGAGAGACAGCAGCTGGACATTGGAAAGTGGCAACTTCACTTTAGAAGAGAGAGACAGAAAGGTGGCTCGACTTCAGGAAAGAGTGACCTGCCCTTTCTATCTCATCTCCAGCTCTCCTCTCTGCTGAGAGCCACTTTCATTGCCCAATAAAATTCTCCGCACTCACCATCTTTCAATTCATCCATGTTACCTCATTCCTCTTGGGCACTGGACAAGAATTTGGGATGCACAAAGTGCAGGTACCCAGAACAACTGTCACACTGGCCCTTTTGCCCTCTCTGGTGGAGGACAGCTGCCCCACATGATGAGGAGGCAAAGGGCCCACTGAGCTGATAACACATGCTGTCTGTGGATGGTGGAACTAAGAGAGCATTGTAACACACCCTCTGGGGTCATGGGGTTGCAGGCACCCCGTTGGGATGCTGCTGTGAGGCCGGCACGGAGTTTGCTCCTGCCAGCACCAAAGTGGCCGACCGGTTCCTGTACTCACTCACTCAAGTTCCCAGGCTCGTTTGCTTGCGTGCTCCCTCTCATGAGGGGTTGAACAGGGCAGGCTGAGTATACTGGGCACCCCTATCATAATTCCCATGAAGGGGTCAAGAAAATGCCCTGCATCAGTATAATTATGTCCTATGCAATATTTGAGACATAATTACACTAAAAAAATCATTGTTTATCTGAAATTTATATGTAACTGAGTCCACTGTATTTTATTTGGCAATCCTATTTTCTAGATGGTTCCTCATGTGTACTTTTATTTCATACATATTTACCACACTCAAGGCACAACTCCTTTTTGTTGTATCTTTGGAGTAAAGGCAGTATAAAAATCTATGGTCCATTATTGCTATTTATTTACCTAGAATTGGCTGGGGAGATGGGATGAGATAGTTTCTAATCCTTCTTCCAGCATATGGGATACATAAACATGGGCAGTCATAGAAATTGAAATCATTTTTTGCATCAATCTCTAGTAACAATGTGCCAGCTTATCCTGCTTATAAATGTAGGCACATATGCTCATAGAGCAAAAAGTCACATGTTTACCACTATTTCACACACGTGAACTTGAAAGATAATACTAACCTTCTTAAAGTCACACACATACTAACAATAGATATTGCTGGATTAGGCTTCTGATAATTGAATTGTTGTTTTGTTAACATCACTCAAGAATTTATTTATATATTAGATTCTAAGAACATCTCTCAGTTTGAATATAAATTACTGTGTAAATCTTAACTGTGTCATCGTATGTTCATCCCTTCATAACAAATCACAAAGTAGTTTGAATATGAAAATACTTCAAAGATTTGATTAAAATTAGTACATTATCATTGTTTTATCATTTTTATCCATTTAAAAACCTTCTCTACTTATTCTCTATTTCTTCCTCTCTTGGGTTGGGGGCTATGGAGAGCAGTAATTGCTATGTAACAAACAACAACCTCTAGTAACAAAATGTCTGTTCTAGGGTGAAATGTCTGCTAAATGAACATTAAATATAATTAGAGACTTGTAGTTGCTTTGGAAAAATTTTCTAAGATGTACTTTACCCCTCTCTGTTGAGTATTAAAATCATCTGAATGACCCCAGGACTTAGTTCAGTCATTTCCAATTTCCATTCGTTCTGTCTCATCTTCTCTGAAGTTCCTTGTTAAAGTGTGAAAATAACTTGTAGTGTTTTTCATCTTCGGTGGAATGATTAAACTCACGTATATTGACACAAAATTTGTAAAAAGAAATATACTGTGTAAATGTGAATTTTTAAATAATAACAATACATAAAGAAAAAAGGACCAAGCATTTTTCATTGCAGAAATAGGATAGGGAAGGACTGAAGTAATCATTTGATTTCAGCAAATCACATCTCACTCTGTTCGTCATCTTGGCTCCATCCAAGAGGTCTGAGGGCTGGGAGGGACTAATAGTAGAGTTCCTACTTATCTGTATAATATCAAAAATTCATAAATTTTAAGTCTTGTGATCTTTCCCCTATCTTTTTTTTCTGGAGTTTTCTTGAGGAATTGTGAAACGGACTGAGTTGAAATCAGAACCATGGAAAGTTGATTATTTACTTATTAAAAAAACTGAAAATAAGATTTCTTTTAAAATAAAATGCAGGATAAAATGTATCTAATGAAATACATTTTTGTTTGAATATTGCAATGGTGTACTTTATCTGTACATTGTTGGTATTTCCTTATAGCAATGACTGAGTTTGTTAAGAAAGAGTTTCATGTTACTGTCTGGCTTGCTTAATTCAGAGGAAAAAGCCCCCAGGACAGTGTTTGAAAACATTTCCCAATAAAAAGGCAGACATTCCTAGTAGATACAGTGTTTAGTCATCTTCAATAGGAAAGAGTGTCCTACATTCCTCACTTTACTAATTCTAGGAAAGTTACCCTGGAAGGAGGTTAAATTGCATGGCTATACATCTCCATCAATATCTTTATCATCTGTATATAGATTTTGCCATACTCATGTAGGTTTATGTACAACTTTCAAACTCTGAAGGTATTCCTAACATTAAGGAAGGAGTGCAATAAGTCATCCTCATTATTACTTAGGAGATCTCCTTTTCTACTTGTATGATCCAGTTAGTGGGCTTCATTGTAGCACTCCAGAGAATGACAGAATTCAGGAAATTCAATTCCAGATGCATGGACTCAGAGTAATCTTTTCAAGTCAGAGTACATTGGTACCTGGGGAAACATCACATGAAATCATGTGCACTGGATAGCTTTTATGGAGCTCATTATCAAATGGGAACATTAGGCAGGAATCTGGCAGAGAAAATGTAATCAGGATTTATAATTAAGTGAGAACAGAATTTATAAACTTGATTATAATTGTAGGGCTTCTAGGCCCTTTTCCAAATATCAACCACATGCACTGCAAATATAAAATAAGAATTTGTATACTAAGAATTATTTATCATGATTTCAGTAGCAGTCCTGGAAGCTTTGGCAGATTTAATCTCAGACTAAAAAAAATTTGCAATCCTTCCAAAGAAAGTTTGGTTAAAGGATATTTCTGGTAGATCCAGTCTAGAAGTATTTAAAATAATTGACATAATTCAAAATAACTACTGAAGCTGAAATTCATTGCTTCTTTTTAAAAATTGAAACTGTTAGTACTGCCATCTTTAGATGAAAGAATCTTTGACAGATAGTCCCAGAGCAAAAGTTCGCATATTTTACAGGCACCTCTTTTCCTGGTAGAACTAAAAATAGTTTTTTCATGCCCTTTAATTTGTTTCACTGCTGATTCTCTTAGGAGTTTGCAAACAATATGGTTTTCTGGAACTGGCAGCCAAGGGGCTGTAGGCATTTCAGCTGCTGAGAACAACAGTTAAGTGTAGTAGTCACTGGCTGCTGTAGAAGCAAAGGCCTAGAATTAGGGTGACTCATTGCTCAATGATAAAATTTATATAACCTCTAGCCAACAAGATGAAGGAAAGTATAATGCATAATAGTTCAGAGTTGGGTTTTATACCTAGACTAATTTGGATGTATAACCTGGCTATGTTACTTACTAGCTATGAGAACATGGCATTGTTATACTAAACCTAAGACTCAGAGTCCTCATGTTTTAAAGGGGGGCTAATAGAGCCAAATTTTTATGACATTCAAAAGTAATATGTAAAACATATTCCTGATACATAGAGGATGCTCAAATAATGTAATCTATTTTCATTTTTATTATTTTACTGAAAAGTTCTTAGCTGAGTTTTTAGTCATCTATATAACCGTGCATTCTTTTAAAGGATATTACAATTCTTCTCTGACTGCACATAGTATATATGTGTACCTGCTTGTTAAGATATATAAGTAGGGACTAGGGTTTTATAATGGGGATAGAAAAATAAGTACATATATTAATTATAGTACTATTTCAATGTTAAATATAGGAAACACTTTAAAGACTTGAGATCCCTGATTTTGGTTGTAAATAAAAATCAAAGTTATTGACCACCTCAAAGTACCTTGATTTTATGGGCCTTAAAATCTGTTGAGTGGGGCAGAAGGTACTCACTTATGGAAAGCTGGGCCAGGAAAAGACAGTGCATTACTGATGGCCAAAAGGGTAACCCAGAATGAGAGCTGCATGACCAAAGATGAAGCAACCTGGACTAGAGGAACCTGGAGGCGTGCACACAGCAGCTGTGTGGTGAGCCTTCCTGAACTTAGGTCTCTTTTGGGAAATGTGGGTAATCATGTGGAAATCAGGCCTCACAGAGCTCTCACAGAGAACCACCTACCCACAACAGTGAACTAAGTAGGACATTCATTGTAGGAATCAATAATATAACTGATCATGAAAATCTAAATAAACTTAGTGGAGAATGAACAAAAACTGATCCACCTTCCCTCCAAAAAGGAATGGGCAATTATTCATTAAAAAAGATTCTTTAAGGCTTCTCTTGGTAATCTGATAGAATAATTTTTGAAAAAGAGCTCTGGCTGCTCCTATTGCAGCTGGCAGGGCAGAGCCAATAGGGATCCCTGTGCAGGGCTGCAGGAGCTGCGATCCCAGCAGGAAGACGCTGGCAGGGATAGTGCTGTGGGTTTTGCTATCTGTCACAGTTTACCGATAGGATCCTTTTTACCAAACAGATAAAATTTCATGGTGTATGAGTTTTTTGTTTGGTTTTGTACCTTTCCTAGGAATTTAATGTTAAACATATAAAACACATTGTTGCGTTTTTGGTTTTCCCTTCTTATACTTCTAGGGTTTTAATGATCCCTATCTATTAAAATGGTAACACATACATACACACGTATATGGAAGATACATACTAAGAATAATTTATTAGACAGATATGTGAATGTGAGGATGGCAGCAGTAATAAAAAAGAGCTGCTGAAGTTTTGTTTAATCTGTGTTGGAGCCTGAGGAATCTGTCCTTTGAGTTCTTTCTGGAAAATTCTGTCTTATTCAATGCTATATTTTGGCACCTAACATAGGCCTTGAAACATGGCAAGTACTCAATAACATAGTGACAATAATGAAAATGCATTCTGATATGGTGAGCCACACATAAATAATAAAATAATAATTAACATTCACTGAATGCTGACTATAGATTGGGTACTATTTCAAATAACATGCATATATTATTTCATTTTCCCCTGAGAAAACCTTTATAAGGTAGTCAGATTTTGACCACACTTAAATTATTAAGTAACTGAGTCACAGAGTGGCTAATTAACTTGGTTATAGAAATGTAATTAAGACGTGACAGAGTAAGATGGGAATTCAGCCGGATCTACCAGAAAGCCCTGGATTTAACCAGGCAAGCCTTGCCACTCTCAGAGAGTAAAGGGATCGGATTAGTGAATCTGTTGATGCTGAGAAAGGGCTTATTCCTATAGCTGTAATTCTCTGAAATAAATCCAGGTAAGAGTCCAAATATAAAAAGGACAATTTTTAAAATTATCATATACGGTTCTTTTATAAAACAGAGTTATGCTTACTATTGTTACTGAAGAGTCAAATTTTGAAATATTTTGTTTAGCATCGGACAAAATACACTTCAATACACTATGTAGGCTATTTATTCTTTGAAATAAAATGCTTTTTACTTTAATCTGCCTGAAATTTGTGTTGCTTATATTAATAATATCTTTTCCTCAGTGTGTATATGGCATGAGTATGAGTGTGAGTGAGTGTATTAGTGTATTTGTATTAATACCTTTTCTAAAAGAAATACAGAACCACAGATTCCTCTTTAGATGGCATTAAACTTCAAAGAACAATAAAATAGGAAAAGTGGAAGTAGGAATTTGTGCATGTTATTCTGCTTTGGTTGCTAACTTTTTAATTGACTCTTTAGAGATGGATAGTTATAACATGAGAGGCTTGTCATTATTCTTTTCTCTGTGTTTTCTGATGTAAACAGAAGTGAAATTGCAAGACAGTCTATTTCAGGCTTCAAACAGAAGAACCAGTACAGCAGTAAAAGGTATATGATTCTTCCGTCAATCAGATGAGTATGTATAGCATTTTCTCTTCCATGCAGTCCCACCGCTGAACTAGTCGAAGGCCAGTTTAATGACCTCTCACCCTACGTGGACCAATGGCTTGAAATTGATGCCAGATTTTCTTTCTCCACTGGATTAGCATGGCATCTTATTCATGTTTTGTATGCCATGAAGTAATTCTACTCTGTATGATACACACCCTTGTGTTTCTTGCTTATTCCCTCTGCTTTTGCTCACTGCGCTTTTGTCACACTGGTCTTCTTTCTATTCCTTAAACATGCCAGGTCTGTGCCTGACTTAGGGCCTTTATTTTGCCTATTTCTTTTTTTTTTGTTTTGTTTTGAGACAGAGTCTTGCTCTGTCGCCCAGGCTGGAGTGCGGTGGCGCGATCTCGGCTCACTGCAAGCTACGCCTCCCAGGTTCACACTATTCTCCTGCCTCAGCCTCCAGAGTAGCTGGGACTACAGGCACCTGCCACCGCGCCCGGCTAATTTTTTGTATTTTTTAGTAGAGACGGGGTTTCACCGTGGTCTCAATCTCTTGCCTGACCTCGTGATCCGCCCGCCTCGGCCTCCCAAAGTGCTGGGATTAAAGGCGTGAGCCACCGCGCCCGGCCTATTTTGCCTATTTCTTGTGCCTGGTATGCTTTCACCCTTACCTTTGCTTGCTCAGCTTCTTCTTGTCATTCAGATGCCACCTTAAATGTAATTGGTTCTGAGAGGCCTTCCCTGACCATCTGTATTAGGGCACTCCAAAGAAACAGAACCAATACAATATATAGATAGGCAGATATATGAGATGGGGTTTATTAGGGGAATTGGCTCATGATTATGAAGGCTGAGAAGTTCCAAGGTAGGCCGTCTACAAGCTGGAGAACCACAGAGGCCGGTAGTGTGACTCAGTCCAAATCCAAAGGCCTCAGAACCAGGGAAGCCAAGGCTGAAAACTTGAGACCTGGGGCAAGTCACGTAATCCAGAGGCTGAAGATCCTACGGTTCTGATATTCAAGGCCAAGAGAAGGATGTCCCTACAGTTCTGATACTCAAGGCCAAGAGAAGGATGTCCCAGATCCAGGAAAGAGAAAGTGAATTCACCTTTCCCCTGCTTTTTTGTTCCATCTGGGCCCTCGCACAATTGGATCGTGACCACCCACATTAAAGGCAGATATTCCCTACTCAATCCACCAACTCACATGCCAATCTCATGTGGACACAATAAAAAATAATGCTTTACCAGCTATCTAGTTATCCCTTAATCTAGTCACATTGACACTTAAAATTAACCAGAACACCATCCAAACTCAAGTATGCACCCACTAACTCCCATCTTACCTTAAGTTATCTTCACAAGTAACACTTTCTGATATTTTAAAATTTATATTATTTATATGTGTATTTGTTCATTTATCCTTCATTGCCTCCACTAGAATGTAAATGAGCAAATATATAAATAATATAAATTTTAAAATATGAGAAAGTGTTACCTGTGAAGATAATTTAAACAAGGTAAGGTGAACCTTATCTATCTTGTTCACCATAGTACCACAGGCCCAGCACATGTCACAGAGTTGGCCCTTGATACCCACGTATGAAATGTTGATAGAATGAAGAATGAATGTGTATTGAATTGAGTTGTTTTGGAAGGCATCCTTTGCAGCTCCAACCCTTTAAACTATGGATCTTGGTTTATAAAGGAATATGTGGATTTGGGTGTTTCTTTTGGCAAGTACTGATCAGCCTACTGAGTGATGCCACAGCTGGAGGGTAATAGTTTGCCTTATGCCAGATTGAAGTGTTTCATATAATCCTCACCTGATCCACCCGTAATTCTTGGCATGTGGAGTGTAGAGTGAGGAAGTAGTGATATCAGAATTTATATTTACCAACTACCATGCACTAGTATAATATTCTATGGAAATTATACTGATAAACAGCCTGATTCAAAATTCTCTTAATCCACCTTTCTAGAAATATAAACGCAAACAAGCAAGCAAGAAAAATAAAAACAACAACAACATAAACCTTACTACCAAGTTCCTGATATTGAAAAGTCTATAGTCATAATTTTCTAGTTGTAAATGTTATTCAATCAATAATGTGATCTAAAAGCTATCCTCAGTAAGAGTTGATTAAAATGAAGCTCTGTGCAAGGTAGAATTTGAAGTAGACTTTGCCACTGCTATTAGTCCTGTGATTATGTTGTTTTACATGCCAAAAGGGATTTTGCAGATACATAGTCAGAGGACCTTAAGAAAGAGGGATTATTGAAGTGGGCCTAATCTGATCACATGAGCCCTTTAATGGCATAGTGGTGGTAGCAGAAGTTAGAGAGATCCAAAGTGTATATAGGACTTGCCCCATTGTGGCTTTGAAGATAAGAGCGTAAGAAGGAATTTTGGTGACCTCTAAAAAGAGAGACCAGTCCTCAGCAAGAAAATGGGATCTCAGTCCTACAGCCACAAGGAACTGGATGCCAATTATCTGTTCCTCATATCATACTGATTGCAATTTCTTTGGATATATATCCAGTAATGGGATGGCTGGATAATATGATAGGTATAATTTTTGAGGAAACTCCATACTGTGACACCACACAACGGCTGTACCAATCTAGATTCTTACTAACAATGTGTAAGTGTTCTCTTTTCTCCATATCATTGCCAACACTTATCTTTTGTCTTTTTGATAATAGCCATCCTAACAGCTGTGAGGTGATATCTCATGGTGGTTTTAATTTGCATTTTTCTGATAGGGATATTGAACATCTTTTCATATACCTGTTGATCATTTGTATGTCTTCTTTTGAGAAATGTTTATTCAGGTCCTTTGCCCATTTTAAATTGGATTATTTGTTTTCTTGTTATTGAGTTGCTTTTGTTTCTGATATATGTAGGATAATAACCCCTTATCAGATGTATGGCTCGCAATTTTTTCTCCCATTCTGTAGGTTGTCTCTTCAGTCTTCTGGCTATGCAAAAGCTTTTTAGTTTGACACATTCTCACTTCTCTATTTTTGCTTTTGTTGCTTATGTTTTGGGGTTCATATAAAAAAAATCATTTCCCAGACTGTTGTCATAGGCTTTTTCCCCTTCGTTTTATTCTAGTAGTTTTATAGTTCCAGCTCTCATGTTTAAGTCCTCAATCCATTTTCATTTGGTTAATTTATGGTGTGTGATAAGGGTTTAATTTCATTTTTCTTCATGTAGATATCCAGTTTCCCCAACATCATTTATTGAAAAGGCAATTCTTTATCATTGTATGTTCTTGGCATTTCTGTCAAAAATCAATTGACTGTAAATGCATAGTTTATTTCTGGGTTCTCTATTCTGTTCCGTTGTTCTATGTGTGTAAGCCAGGCACAGAAAGACAATCATCAGCCATGCTGTTTTGAATATTATATGTCTGTAGTATAATTTTTAGTCAGGTAGTTTGTTCTTTTTGCTCAGGATCACTTTGGCTTTTTGAGCTCATTTGTAGGTCCATACAAATTTTAAGATTGTTTTTCTATCTTTGTGAAAAATTTCCTGGAATTTTGATAAGGATAGCATTGAATCTGTAGATTGCTTTGGCCAGTATGGACACTTTAACTATATGAATTCTTTCAATATATAACATAGAATATCTTTCCATTTATTTGTGTCTTCTTCAATTTCTTTCCTCAATGTTTTGTATTTTTTGGTGTACAGGTTTTTCACTTCCTTGGTTAAGTTTATTCCTAAGAATTCTATACATTTTTTGTATCTATTGTTAATGGAATTTTAAAAATTTCTTTTTTGAATAGTTTCTTGTTAGTATATAGAAATGCTACTGATTTTTGTATGTTGATTTTGTGTCCTGCAACTTTACTGAATTTCTTTTATTAGTCCTGACAGTTTTTTGGTGGAGTGTTTAGGGTTTTCTCTCCATAAGATTATGTCATCTGCAAGCAGGGACAATTTAACCTTTCTCTTTGGAATTCATAAACCTTTTATTTCTTTCTATTGCCTAGGTTATCTGCCTGGGACTTTTAGTGCTATGTTGAATAGAAATGGTGAGATTGGGCATCCTTATCCTTGTCTTGTTTCTTAGAGGAAAATCTTTCCATTTCTCACTGTTGAGTATGATGCTAGCTGTGGGTTTGCCACGTATGACCTTTACTATGTTGAGATACAGTCCTACTATACCTAATTTGTTAAGGTTTTTTCTTTTTTTATCATGGAAGGATGGCAAATTTTGTCAAATGCTTTTTTCCTGCATCTATTGAGATAATCATATAGTTTTTATCTTTTATTCTGTTAATGTGGCATATCACATTTATAGATTGTCATATGTTAATCCATCCTTTCATTCTGGGATAAATCCCACTTGATCATGATGAATGATCTCCCAGCAACAATTTTTACGTCATCCCTTTTCTCCTGTTCTATCTGTTGCCCATGTCTACTTCTACTTCCAACCTCTCCTCAAAGTGTCCTAGCTCTTTATCAGTGTTTACCTCATGTTCTCCTTTCCTCTGTCTTTCTTCCTGATTCTCCATTCAAGCAACAGATAACCTTAGTGGAGCATGGGAAGGGAGAAGAGACTTGAAGCAGGGCAAATCAGAATCCTCTTTAGTAGCAGAAATTTACTCTAAGGCTGGGAGATTTTATTTGTTCTTAATTTTTAATTCCATCACAGATGTTTACCAATAGTACCCAATCCAATAAAGGAAAACCAAAAAGTAACTTTCAGACTCTTTGTGTAAAATTTTAGAGCAAGGAGGCATAATATTTCTAAACCTGTGGCCACAGGTAGTATTCCTTGGGAGCAGGACGTTTATTAAAGATTGCTATGTGGCTGTGAAAGTGAAGAAAAGGAAGAAGAATTGGCTGGGGAGAAGTCGTACCATGATCACTCCCTATAATTGCATTAGCTGACCCTATGAGGAGCTCTGGAGCTGACCGTGATGGTCTTTTAGAGCTTTCTGTAGGGCTAAAGGAGCAGGATTTCTGCATTCCTGCACTGATGTGTGAATGTCAGTCATTGCTGAAAGAAGATTTAACTTTAAACAAGGCAGCTTTCTTCAGCTAAGGCAATCTTTAAAGAGAACTAATGATTGAATATCATCTTCTGTTAGCATTCCCAGTAGCTGGAGGAACAAGTTCTTCTTTCCTAAAGAGGGATCTGGGCTGTGCATCAGTGCATGCACTACATGCTATGTCATTTGTCTACCAGAGATGTACTCAGAAAATATGTTATTAACTGCCACTTGCATGGGATCTCAACAGAGCTTTATTATGGGATACTCTAGAGAACTCAGACTGTCAAGGGAAATTTGTGGAACAGCTTACCTCTGCTGATATAGAGTAGCATACAAGAGGCTACTTCAAGGTTGGAATGGGGAAATTAGCAAGTTAGGGATATAAATAAATGTGGCCTGGGTCTGAAGTTCAGGGACTTAAAAGCCATTAAGGAGCACTACTTCTGCAGCTGGAAAGGTCACAGAAGATAGAGGGTAATGGCTCTAATATTGGAGAATGTTCTTTCTTTCATGGCTTCTCAGGTGATTCCTGTGTTTTCACAGCAATTTCCCATTTAAAAAAAGCAAGGATTTGTGTTCAGGAGAGGTGTCTATTTGTCATCACCATTAACTGGAGTAGTGGGTGCTGAATAATAAATATATCCTCCTCTGCCTTATCCCACTTCCCTGAAAGATTTGTTTAGAAGATCGAATGACTTTCATTGTTTGAAAAATTGTGTGCCCTAGAATATTGAGTGAAAGAGGTCTAAATGTTTTCTCACAGAGCTATCAGAACACACGCCACAATTAATGGTTCTGTTAACCGATTTCCTTGTTCAATTATGAGCTGCACTGGGGCAGAGAGCAGGTCTCTGTTATTCTCCGTCTGTACTGACCACCATTCCAAGCAGAAAATAGATTCTTGCCAATGTTTGTTGAATGATTACATGAGTTAATAAGTGAATAAACAGATATTCTATAGTGTTGCTATGGTCTAATTGTTTTTTTCATGAAAATTTAAAATTATTTTACTAGCTGGATCCCAGCTGCCTGCACAGCAGACACACCTATATTAGAGCTTAATACCATAATAGACCATGTCTGTTGTGTATATAATTTAGTTGGGAGTGGAGTATCTTTCCTTAAAGACCATCTGCATATTTTAAGAGCAGGAGTAGCTTGTGTAGTTTAAGCCTCCAGACTCTAATTCAATTAGGTACCAGAGTGAAAGGTGCTGTAATGGGAATCTAATCAGGCCATCAATATTGATAAAAGTGGTAATCAGTCAGCACAGCCACATCAGCCTGAGGAACAGAAAGTGCGTGTGTTCGACATTTATTTAACAGGAAGGCCATCATGTTGCAGTAGCACATGTAGGCCGTAGCTCTGGGGACCACAGTAAAAAAGGAAATTTGAATGTGAAAATGGAAAGACCAAATTCTTCAGGAAAGGACTGGCAGCAAATATAAACTAGACAAAAATGAATACCCATATGTAAGTAGCATTGGAATTCTTGAGACTAGAGTGATGGTAGTGTGGTGGCTCTGTAACTTCTTGAGAAAAGATTGATAGGTCTTTAGAAAAGGATGTAGACACATGACTATGACACATAGAGAAGTTCCTTCTGCTGAGAAGGTGGTCCTTCCTTTAGAAACTATTTTCCAAGGAGCATAAAATATGTTAGGGGCTTATTTCTTTCTCTCCCACTTTATACTACACTGATGAGATGCTGTTAGTATTTGTCTATATATTTCTAAATAACATGCTTATTGTATTAGCCATTTTCACACTGCAGTAAAGAACTACCTGAGACTGGGCAATTTATAAAGAAAAGAGATTTAATTGAGTTACAGTTCTACATGGCTGGGGAGGCCTCATAAAACTTACAATCATGGCAGAAGGTGAAGGGGAAGCAAGGAATGTCTTACATTGCAGCAGTAGAGAGAGAGAGCCGGGGGGAACTGCCAAACAATTTTAAACCATCAGACCTCGTGAGAACTCACTCACTATCATGAGAACAGCATGATGGAAACAGCCCCATGATCCAATCGCCTCCTACCAAGTCCCTCCCTTGGCACATGGGGATTACATTTTGAGATGAGATTTGGGAGGGGACACAGAGCCAAACCATATCACTTATATTCCTTCCCTCTGGCCCTCCACCCGCTGTTAAAGTTTTAGCTCCTATCTACTTACTTTCAGCTATAGAAGATGAGGAGTTAACCCTTTCTCACTTTTCTGGCCCATCACACACATGTATACACACTTACATGTGTATACACACTTATTGTACATGTATACATGTATACAAGCATACATGTATACACACTTATTGTAATTTTGGTTAGAATAATACACAATGTTTATGTTATTTCAGTTATGTTACAAAATTCACAATTAAGCCAAAAGTAACTACTCAGTGGCAAAAACTGTAATTGCTTTTGCACCAACCTAATAGTACACTATGAAAACTTCCTTTCCTGCCCGTATTATGGCCCCACCATCTCCTCACCATGATAGTATTTGTTAAGTTTTTCTTTCATCTACCAATTTTCTTTGCAACTGTTAAAAATCTCCTGCCAACATATTCAAACACATTAAGTATCCTATCAATTGCATTTTCTTGAAAGTGTTTTCACCTGGGACTTGTGACTTGCTGCAGATTGGCCAATTGGTTCCCAGTCTGCTGAAGAGTTATCTTGCAATTTTTCTTAATATTTTGCCTTCCTTCTTGGCTTAATCTCCATTTCCCGGATTTCATGTCTTACTCTTCCTAGGTTCACTTTCTCGGTTTACTTCCTCATTTTGATAGATCACGTCCTCTAGTAACTTCCTAAGAACAGATATATGGGAGATGAATTTTTAGAGAACTTGAATATTTGAAAATGTCTTTATTTTAACCTTGGTGTTAATTGTTGATTTGGTTGGATTTGTATATTGGAAATAATTTTTATTCAGATTGCTGTTGAAAAGTCTCATAATAATCTGATTTTTCATTCTTTGCATAAAACCTGTTTTACTTTCTCTAGAAGCATGTCATCTGATCTTTTCCATAAAGTTATGAAATATCATGATGATGTGCATTGGTATAAATTGCTTTTTGTTTTTTAGACAGGGTCTTGCTCTGTTGTTCAGGCTGGCATGCAGTGGCACAATCTTGGCTCACTGCAGACTCAACCTCCTGGGCTCAAGTGATCCTCCCACCTCTGCCTCCCAAGTAATGGGGAATACAGGTGTGTGCCACAACACCTGGCTATGTGGTTTTTTTTGTTTTGTTTTGTTTTGTTTTGTTTTGTTGTTTTGTTTTTAGTTTTTGTAGAGACAGGGTCTTGCTATGTTGCCCAGGCTGGTCTTGAACTCTTGGGCTCAAGTGATCCACCCACTTAGGCCTCCCAAAGTGCTGGGATTAAAGGTGTGAGCAATTACACCTGGCCTGAATCCATTTTTAACCATGGTGCTGGGCTCTTGGCAGGCCTTTCCAATAAGGCAACTTGGATCCTCATTTCTGAGAAAATTTCTTGAAATGGTTATTTGAAGACTTGCTTCCCTTCATTTTCTTTGTTCTTTCCTTTTGAAACTCTTTGTATCTGGATGTTGGTCTTCCTGGAGTGATCCATTAATTTTATTGTGTTTTCTCTATTTCTATCTTTTTGTTATACATTCTTTATCTTCTAAATGTTCTGTTAAGATTTTATTTTCATTTTTGCTGTCATATTTTGCATTTCCAAGAGCTCTTTTTGTTCTCTAAGTACCATTTCCCCTTTCTAAAATAGATTTCACTTCTTTCTTCACAAGTGTAATGCCTTTTCTTATTCCTTTCTAGCTAACATGGATAATATTTTCAAATTTTTTTAAATCTGTATAGTTTCTGTTTCCTTCATGTTGCTGTGTCTGTTCTTTTATTCTTTTGGTTATCATCATTCATATTAGATGTTTCCTCATATATGTGGTGGTTTCTGCTTCATATTTAAAAATCGGACAATAACAATTGGATTGAAGCCTTGTGCATGTGAATGGGCCTCCTTAATTGTGGTCCTCACTTTATCGTGATCAGGCTGACCCTTGCGTTAAGTAACTCAGCAACCCCAAATGTTAATTTCTTTCAGTGTTTTCTCTTGGACTGCTCAGATTTCCAAAACAAGTCTTTTCCAGCTTCTTGACTGGAGAGTTTATATCTGGTTGCAGCATTCTGAGAGCCTTAGACAGAACCTTCCTCCTTCCCCAAATTGAACTATATCTGTGGTTGGTGTTCGGCCAAACTAAGGCTTTCTTTTACCTTTCCAGAAAATACAACTCCAAACTTCTGCCAGGGTTAGAGAGTGACAGTGGCTTGCATTTGTGTGGAGGCTTGTTTTTCAGACTTTCAACCAGACCTTGTTTTAGCTTCATCTTTATTTTGGCATCCCAGGATACCTGGAACCACCAATTACTGAGACTTCATGTTCTGAAATAGTTTTTCTCCTTAGCTTTTCTGACTAGTGACTTGGGATTTTTTTTTTTAATCTCAGGTTTTCAATGCCAGTTACCACTCATCCATCTGCTTTTCAGTTTTCAAAACTCTTCGGCTCTTATATCTTTTTCCTTTCACTTTGCCCCAGTAGGTTTATGCCTTTTAAAAAAATTGACTTGCAGTCATTTTAGAGCTAAATCTCTGTAGTCAATACACATATTTAGCAATAAGTTTTCAGCTATTTTACTACATCTTGTTATAAGTTATTTGTAAAACTACAGCTAAGGTAACTTCTGAACAAAATTTATAATCCATGATGATGTTAGAGATCACTGAGGAAATAAATGAATTCCTCTTTGATTTTATTACTCTACAGACAAGGGAAAGAGAATAAAAATGACTTTATATTTATCCTATGATACACCATACTTGTATTTCTGTTGCTGATACATTCTTTTTTTAGTGAAATAAAATATCTAAGTCTCACCTACTAGCCACATTAGAACTCTTCAAGACTATCTTGGATGGGGTCCATGTCAGGGGAGTTGGTGCTTGGAATTGAGTCTTAGAGGCTGCAAATTAAGGTAAAGTATTTTAATTTAGGTAGCTAGCATCAAAGGAAAATAAGAGAAAGGGTGAACATGGGAGCTAAAATTCTTATTAAACATTAAGGGTCAAAATCAGTTAAGCTAAAAGCTAACTTTAAGTCCATGGGTAGAAAACTAGTCTGGGAATATATCAAAAATGCTTTAAGTCATATTATAAAGTTTAAATGTTGGATATAGACAAAGGGGACATTTTAAAAATAGGGTCAATTTTTAGTGACATTTAGAATATGGAACTAAATTTCCAAGGGTCATTCAGAAAACCCTGGCCAAAAAGCTTAGTATCAGGAACCAGGCAGATCTCAAGCCTTATAGAAACAAAAAGATTGTTGTGGATGAATTTGCAGAGTTTGATATTCTCTTAGTATTGGCTGTTGGATGCACAGGAGGGTTTGCTTTAAAAGCATACAGGAAGACATATTATCACTTCTCAGCTGCTTCGCAATGCTTATCTGAATGAGAACAGGTTCATGATGTCTCTTTAGGGCACTCTTGAACATAAAATGTATTTAGACCTTAGCACCACAGTTGGTAGAGATAGAAAAGGAACACAAGGCTCGTAGAACAAGGGCAGGAGAAACCTATCCTGGCTCTGAAGGGTAGCCTTTAAGGGACTGTTGAGCTATACCATGCACAATTCATTTATGTATTTACTCATTAATTCTTTCAGTGAATACTTATTTATTCATCTCTACCTGCCAGACACTATACTAGATACTGGAGATGCAGTAGTGAGCAAGATGTACTCTTCTTTCTTTGAAGACCTTATACTCTTTCAAAGAACTCAGATGCAGATCAAGCAAGTATTACACTGGAGATTCAATCAGCAGATAGGAGAATAATAAACAAAGTCCAGGGAGGAAGTGATATTTAAAATGACACAAGCTGGTGGCAGCATCATGGACTAAGAGATCATTCCATTCACATCAGAATGGATGCTCAGAAAATAGGCTCATTTACTCAATTCTTCATCCCTTCACATTTACTTACTGAACATCTTACAGTGTACCAGGCACTATGCTAGGGATCAGCATATCAAAGATAGGCTGTTTAGTAAGATATACCTGAGATAATATGGTTCTGCCCCCAAAGAGCATGCAGGAACATAAATAAACAATTATAATATAGTGTGAGAAGTGCTCCAATAGAGTTACTACAGGCTGCATGTGAATATTTAGGAGTGACCCTTAAACTAAACCTTGGAAGTCAGGGAAGATTTCTTGGAGGAAATGGGATTTATGCTGATACCTGAATGATGCAAAGTTCTGAAGAATGTTTCCCTCCACCCAAGATGGGGTGCTACCAGAGTCAGAAGGGAATACAAATTCTGGCCAGAAAATGGTAGGTGTTCATGTGCAGTTTCAATCGTGGTGAAAACTGAGGTCAATGTAGGAAAATTGATGCAAATAGGTGACATCAAGCATGTTACTTTTCTTTTCTGTGCCTCAGTTTCCTCATTTACAAAATGAGAACTATAATGGAATCTCTTCTATGTGGTTATGGTGAGGATCAAAGAAATGATATATGTAAAACACTTAGAACAGTAGCTGGGTCTTATAAGTACTCAATAAATTTTAGTTAATTATTATTACTAGTAATATCAACTGGCTCCAAAACATGTGAGGTAAGGAAAACCTATGCCTCAAAGATTCTGTGGATGCCCAGAGGTTGTTCCTGGAATGCTGGGTGCCAGAGCCAGGGTAGTAAGAGTAATACTAGATCTTCTAAGGTTGCAAGCTAACATGACTCATATTTTGTTTCCTTCAGGATTGGCTTATAACAGAAAATGGAGGCTCAGTATGACAACATTAACCAAGAAAAACATACCAGTGTGTCTTAGTCCGCTCAGGATACTATAACAAAGTATTATAGACTGGGTGGCTTAACAACAAGTATTTATTTTTGATGGTTTTATAGGCTGAGAAGTCCAAGGTCAAAGAGTCAGCAGATGTATTAGTCTTTTCTCACACTGCTAATAAAGATACACCCAAGAATGGGTAATTTATAAAGGAAAGAGGTTTAAATGACTCGTAGTTCCACAAGGCTGGGGAGGCCTCACAATCATGGTGGAAGGCAAAGGAGGAGCAAAGAGATGTCTTACATGGTGACAGGCAAGAGAGCTTGTGCAGGGGAACTCTCATTTATAAAACCATTATATCCCTTGAGACTTATTCACTACCATGAGAAGAGTATGGGGGAAACCACCCCCATGATACAATTATCTCCACCTGATCCCTCCCTTGACATGTGGGGATTATTACAATTCAAGGTAAGATTTGGGTGGGGACATAGCCAAACCATATGAGCAGAGTTTGTTCTTGGTGAGGGCCCTCTTTTGGCTTGCAAACAGCCACCTTCTTGCTGTGTCCTCACCTGGTGTCTCTTCTTATAGGGGCATTAATCTTCTCTTGGGGGCTCCACTCTAATGATGTCATCTAAAAACCTAATTACATTCCAAAGGCCCCACCACCTAATACCATCATATTGAGGGTTTGAGCTTCAATATATGAATTTGGGGTGACAAAAATATTTAGCCCATAACAGAATACCATTGTGGGCCAGGTACCATTTTTGTTGTTGGGATACATTGAAAAAAAGATGTGCAGAGCTATCCCTGAGAAAGCCAAATTATATTTTATATTTCCAGGTCAGGGAATGGGGCTGATGAAATACTCATTGACAAATAAATATATAAAAGGGAGCATAGGTATCTTAATGTGGAGTAATGGGAAAGGGAACTCTGCTCAGCTAGAGTGCTCTATGCCAGGGAAAAAGAGCATTGCAGACGGAAGAAGGAATGATTGTGCCAAAGATCCTCAGATGGTTAGTGGTTATTCATGATAGTAGGAGGTGAGGAAGGAAGACATGGGCCTCAGAAATTTAGTTTTTGTAGCATTGTTCAAATGTTGATTGGATGTCCCTTTTAGAAGATAAATTAAATGCTTATGTAGATTACCTTTGCAAACCATACGACATGTTCTGCTCTACTGGAACTCCACAGAATATACCTGTCTCATGCCTCAGAACTTTGACAAGTGGTGCTCTCTCTGGGATACTCCTTTCTTGTCTGCCATACAGTCTGATATTTTGTCCAAGACTTAATTCATGTATTTCTTGACAATTTTTTTTTTACCTAGACCTATACTAGATAATTTAGGATGGTAAATATACAAGTAACACCAATTCTCTGCTTCCAAAAGCATACAGTCTAGTTAGAGAACAATATAGGGCACATTACTAAAAAGAGCAATGGAAATTTGGGCAAGAGGATTCTGAAATTTCCCTTCTTCTACTCCTTTTCCTAACAGTAATGTAGCCACTTGGTTAATGTGGCCCTGGCAATGTAGTATAGTTCCCCGAAAGAAAATGAAACTTTTGTTACCCAAGATACACTTTAACTTACACCTTTCAAACTTTCATAAACAGAACATGAGGCTTTATAGACTTCTTAGGCAGTACAGTGCAAATAAATCTGTTATATGCTCTTATCATTTCAATATAATGACTAAAAGACCGGGTCCAGCCAGGAGTGGTGGCTCATCCCTATAATCCCAGCACTTTGGGACATCAAGGTAGGAGGAATACTTGAGGCCAGGAGTTCAAGACTAGCCTGGGCAATGCAACAAGTCTCCATCTCTGCAAAAAGAAAATTTTAAAAAGTAATATAAAAAACCAGGTCCAGAAAAGGTAACACTGAGTAAGGGTATTTTGTGAAAATTCTAAGTGTTTAAACAGGCATTTGATGAGACTTTTGGAAAACAACTACAACAAAGGAAAAATCTATGTAAATGGTGTCAGCCCAGCCTGTTTGAAAACTGTAAAAATAAGTCTGGTCTATATCAAAGTGATGTCAAAGGAGTTGCTTGGGGGACTTTGATAAACTCTGCTTTCCCCATAACCTTAACCCTAACCCTAACCCAATTCCAAAATATACATTTGCAGTAATGTGCTTATTAGAGTAAGTCCTGCTTCAAATCATATCCCCAGCTTCCAACTAAATAGCTGTCCATAAACTTTTTAAATAGAAATTCTGGAGCTGACACTGAGTCTGCATAGCATAAAACTTATGAAAGAATTTGTCTCAGCAGAAAGCTCTGCAGCGTTTCCTGATGGCGAGGATTCAAAAACCAACTTAGGTTTTGATGGATAAATTTAGTTTGGTTCGGAAACAAATGTCTTCTAGAAAGTCTGCTTACTGCTTGAAAGTTGTATTTATTGCCATTTTATTGTTTTTTTGTTAACCCCATACTTTATGTAAGACCTTTGTTTTGCCAAACAAGTTTTGCTGACCGTGGTACTTTTTAGTCGTATATTATAACTTTGACAATAGAGGAACAATTACTAAATTTCCAACTTTTTCCAGATAATTTAGGAAGTAGGTAGGTGCAGATTTACAAGTATAGAGTGGCCATTTAGAACAGCTTGTGCATAATTGATATGGCAGTTGACCCCCAGACCTCTCCTTTGAGTCTTACTCAATAATTCTATCCTTTTGTCAAAGCATTAGTAAACAATATAGAATAATTTAAAATGGAGGACAAATAAGTGAGTTTACCTTGTACCCAACACAGCAAATAACTTGAAGAAATGTCTTAGGTATTTTGGTTTTCATGAAGAACCTCTGAAGCTGTGTGGCTCACTAGGGATTCTCCCTCTCAATCACTGACCACCCCCTTATCTCTCCCACACCCCTCAGGGTTCAGTACAGTTATTTCTCTATTTTTCTGCTTATGGATAGACTCTTCTATCCTAGGAAATCCAGGCAAATCCTGTAGTGGCAGACACTTAGCCTACCTTTGTAGTTTGACACCTCCCCTACCTGGTTACCTACGGGTGTATGGTAGCTGCTTGAACTCTGAAGGCCTGGTGGTGAGTCAAGGCCATGGTACCCAACCAGGGAACAGATGTTCCTTTGACATCACTTTGATATAGACCATGCTTCTTTTTATAGTTTTCAAACAGGCCAGGCTAACATCATTTACATAGCTTCCCAGAGAATATGAAACTATCAAGGGAAACAATCCCATGGCACACACACAGTAGACAAAGGGCCAGAAAATTAGCTAAAAAGCAGCCTAGAGATGGGAGGCAGCATGGATCTCTAGAGTCATCCTGCTGCCACCCAGGAGTGCCCCCATATGTAAGTCTTAATAAATTCATCCACTTGTCCAGCTGGACTTGTCTGCATTATTCTTCGGACTCTCAGAAACTTCCTATTTTGGGAGTTGGGAAGGATATTACAGTCCCAAGGTTTTCGTGTTACAACCTGGAGTGTAGAAAATTTTTTCCATAAAGCTCTTTGCAATGGAATTAAGTCAAACCAGATGCTAGGATGGTTATTGATGAGCTGTTCATAGGTAGAATTTGAACTAGAAAGAAATCTAGAGAGAAGTTGGAACTCTCATCAGACAGGCAACTAGTGTGTTTGCAAATCTTACTTTGGTATCTTTATAGAACATCCAGAGCAATGGAGACTATCCGATCTTAGTGAGAGTCCCTATTTATTACTCTAGCCAAACTTTATACAGTCTTTTTTTGCATGCTTTTGGTTTTGCATTTTAATAAAACTGTTCATATGAACTTTTGAGCTGAATGCAGTTTTCCTAAGGAATGAAGTGAGTGTTTCTTCGCCTCATTAGGAGTATCAAGTTTGAGCCCAGTATAGAACATCAGAAAATTGAAGCTGAAGAAAAGAACCCAAGGGGTACATAAGGGGGCGGGGGGTGAATTTTATCCCTTTTCCATTGTGATCCAACTTCTCAGATCCAAAAGAGTAGACGTGTTAAATAATATTTCAAGAAACAAAATAAGACTCACTTTTAAAGGTTCTAAATTTGGCTTTTTTTTTTCCCCACAAGACTTTCCTTTTTGATTGTCCTGCTTTGATTGTTATTTATTGAATTACTTTTAGCAATTTCCATTTATCTACTCTCTGTGCTTTTTTTTGGTGCATTACTTAAATAGCTCTGAAATTATAACATATTGTGCTGAAAGAAAATGGCAATTTACATTTGCCCACAAAATGACCATAAATTCCAAGGACAATAAATCGCTGTAATTATCTGAAATTCAGGAATGTAGAAGTTCAACAACGGAGACTTTTCTGTAACATAGATAGTTTTTTATTATACAGATATCCTTAATGCTAACATCAATTTGGAGATGAAGCTATCTATGAGAATATAGTGTTTGCATGCTTTTACTATCTTTAAGCCTATGGCATTAATTTATAAGAAGACAGAGTAGTTTCATCTGCTTAAGGAATGGGCAAGGAAGGAAATACTAATAAGTAGCATGAGTCATGTTACTAATTTCATATTATCTTTATTAGTTTTTGTGTTTAAGAAGTTTTGCCTAATGACATTTTAGAATTCAAAATTATTGAAGAAACTTTATCTGACCTTTCTTTTTTATGTCAACATTAGCAGTTCAATAAAAGAAATCAACATATGCCGAGGTTCTGGCAATATTACCATTTTCCTATTTCATTTTCTTTATTATTAACAAATACCTAACAAGTTTATGTTACTTGTGACCTTGAAATAGTTTTAGGTGCAGCACTTGGAATTCACAGGCTATCAGCTAGAATCTATGGAAGTGTATTGCTTTGTTGCTTCTTCAATTTCCATTTCTAATAAAGGACAAGTAGCCAATCTAATATTTGGAAATTGAAGCATTTTCCAAATGTTCACAGAGGGTGTTAATTGGTTGGATATCATAAGTGAAGTGGTGACCAAATTATGGCTCAGAGGTAAAAAAGAAAAAAAAATCCTCATTACTTTGCATGTTTGACCTTGACAGGCTGTTTTTACTCCATGATCTATGACAAGAATAATAGTATTTCACTTACGTTTCCTCAGATTCTCACAGCGAGGTTAGTGGAAATTTTAAACAATTTGAAGTCAGCAGATACAGGTTACACTCCTGACAGCAAACTTTTCTAAATGATCATTGAGTAGATGAATCCCAGCGATTTCATTTTTAGATCAGAAATAAAACATGGAAATCCTTGCAGAGCTTTAGTGAAAATCTAAGGCCATAGAAATATTTTAAATCTCCAGAGTATTATAATACACAAAGGGTGCTTGACATGGTTTGGCTCTGTGTCCCCACCCAAATCTCACCTTGAATTGTAATAATCCCCATCTGTCAAGGGTGGGACCAGGTGGAGGTAGTTGGATCATGGGAGTTTCCCCCATGCTGTTCCTGTGATAATGAGTAAGTCTCACAAGATCTGATTATTTTATAAGCATCTGGCATTTCCCCTGTTGGCACTTCTCCTTTCTGCCACTTTGTGAAGAAGGTGCCTTGCTTCTCCTTCACCTTCCACCATTATTGTAAGTTTCCTGAGGCCTCCCAAGCCATGCTGAACTGTGAGTCAATTAAACCTCTTTCCTTTATAAATTAACCAGTCTTGGACAGTTGTTTATAGCAGCATGAAAAAGGATTAATACATTGCTATTCTGTGTATGTGCTGACTGTATGAATATTTCTATTAACCAGTTTACTCAATTCAAACAAGTCATCAAATTTTAAAGTATGATAAAGCACTATCATTTCTTGAGCATAAAAGGCACTATACTAGGCACATGGCACGCAAGCTTTGTCTTTAAAATAATATGATTATACATATTACAATTAAAAATCAAAAGACAAAAGTATGTAGAGAGGTAACTAGAAGCTCTTTGTTACAAAAAGCTTTCTATTTATAGAAAGCTATGACTATTCTATTTTTGTGATGAACTCTAATTTTTTTTTTTTTTTTGAAATGGAGTCTTGCTCTGTCACCCAGGCTGGAGTGCAATGGTGCCATTTGAAACCTCCGCCTCCCAAGTTGAAACAATTCTCCCACCTCATCCTCCCGAGTAGCTGGGACTACAGGCATGCACCACCATGCCCCGCTAATTTTTGTATTTTTAGTAGAGACGGTGTTTCACCACGTTGGCCAGCCTGCTCTCGAACGCCTGACCTCAAGCAGTCCGCCCGTCTCGGCCTCCCAAAGTGCTGAGATTACAGGCGTGAGCCACCACGCCCAGCCACTAATGTATTTTTAATTGAGGTAAAAATGAATATTGTAAAGCTCACAAATCAGTGTATAACTTGAAATTTTACATATATACATATACCATGTAAACACCAAAAATCACTTTTCAGAATGGTGCCTTATATTTTTCCTAAGTTCCTGTTCTCACCTCCTTCTGCAAAATCCGATACAGTGACTCCTTCACCACTGATTTGTTTTGCTTATTTTTGACTCACAAATGTGATATGAACTCCTTTGTATCTGACTTCTTTTTTTTTTTAATTATACTTTAAGTTCTAGGGTACATGTGCACAATGTGCAGGTTTGTTACATATATATACATGTGCCATGTTGGTGTAATGCACCCATTAACTCATCATTTACATTAGGTATATCTCCTAATGCTATCCCTACCCGCCCCCCGCCAACCCCACAACAGGCCTCGGTGTGTGATGTTCACCTTCCTGTGTCCAAGTGTTCTCATTGTTCAATTCCCACCTGTGAGTGAGAACATGCAGTGTTTGGTTTTTTGTCCTTACAATAGTTTACTGAGAATGATGGTTTCCAGCTTCATCCATGTCCCTACAAAGGACATGGACTCATCCTTTTTTATGGCTGCATAGTATTCCATGGTGTATGTGTGCCACATTTTCTTAATCCAGTCTGTCATTGATGGACATTTCGTTTGGTTCCAAGTCTTTGCTATTGTGAATAGTGCCGCAATAAGCATACATGTGCATGTGTCTTTATAGCAGCATGATTTATAATCCTTTAGGTGTATACCCAGTAATGGGATGGCTGGGTCAAATGGTATTTCTAGTTCTAGACCCTTGAGGAATTGCCACACTGTCTTCCACAATGGTTGAACTAGTTTACAGTGCCACCAACAGTGTAAAAGTTTTGCTATTTCTCCACATCCTCTCCGGCACCTCTTGTTTCCTGACTTTTTAATGATCGCCGTTCTAACTGGTGTGAGATGGTATCTCATTGTGGTTTTGATTTGCATTTCTCTGATGGCCAGTGATGATGAGCATTTTTTCATGTGTCTGTTGGCTGCATAAATGTCTTCTTTTGAGAAGTGTCTGTTCATATCCTTTGCCCACTTGTTGATGGAGTTGTTTGTTTTTTTCTTGTAAATTTGTTTGAGTTCTTTGTAGATTCTGGATATTAGCCCTTTGTCAGATGAGTAGACTGCAAAAATTTTCTCCCATTCTGTAGGTTGCCTGTTCACTCTGATGGTAGTTTCTTTTGCTGTGCAGAAGCTCTTTAGTTTAATTAGATCCCATTTGTCAATTTTGTCTTTTGTTGCCATTGCTTTTGGTGTTTTAGTAATGAAGTACTTGCCCATGCCTATGTCCTGAATGGTATTGCCTAGGTTTTCTTCTAGGGTTTTTATGGATTTAGGTCTAACATTTAAGTCTTTAATCCATCTTGAATTAATTTTTGTGTAAGGTGTAAGGAAGGGATCCAGTTTCAGCTTTCTACAAATGGCTAGCCAGTTTTCATGCACCATTTATTAAATAGGGAATCCTTTCTCCTTTTCTTGTTTTTGTCAGGTTTGTCAAAGATCAGATGGTTGTAGATATATGGTATTATTTCTGAGTGCTCTATTCTTTTCCATTGGTCTGTATCTCTGTTTTGGTACCAGTACCATGCTGTTTTGGTTACTGTAGCCTTGTAGGATAGTTTGAAGTCAGGTTGTTTGATGCCTCCAGCTTTGTTCTTTTGGCTTAGGATTGACTTGGCAATGCGGGCTGTTTTTTGGTTCCATATGAACTTTAAAGTAGTTTTTTCCAAATCTGTGAAGAAAGTCATTGGTAGCTTGATGGGTATGGCATTGAATCTGTAAATTACCTTGGGCAGTATGGCCATTTTCACGATATTGATCCTTTTTATCCATGAGCATGGAATGTTATTCCATTTGTTTGTGTCCTCTTTTATTTCGGTGAGCAGTGGTTTGTAGTTCTTCTTGAAGAGGTCCTTCACATCCCGTATAAGTTGGATTCCTAGGTATTTTATTCTCTTTGAAGCAATTGTGAATGGGAGTTCAGCCATGATTTGGCTCTCTGTCCATTATTGGTGTATAAGAATGCTTGTGATTTTTGCACATTGATTTTGTCTCCTGAGACTTTGCTGAAGTTGCTTACCAGCTTGAGGAGATTTTGGGCTGAGACGATGGGGTTTTCTATATATACAATCATGTCATCTGCAAACAGGGACAGTTTGACTTCCTCTTTTCCTAATTGAATATCCTTTATTTCTTTCTCCTGCCTGATTGCCCTGGCCAGAAATTCCAACACTATGTTGAATAGGAGTGGTGAGAGAGGGCATCCCTGTCCTGTGCCAGTTTTCAAAGGGAATGCTTCCAGTTTTTGCCCATTCAGTATGATATTGGCTGTGGGTTTGTCATAAATAGCTCTTATTATTTTGAGATATGTCCCATCAATACCTAATTTATTGAGAGTTTTTAGCATGAAGGGTTGTTGAATTTTGTCAAAGGCCTTTTCTGCATCTATTGAGATAATCATGTGGTTTTTGTCTTTGGTTCTGTTTATATGCTGGATTACATTTATTGATTTTCATATGTTGAACCAGTCTTGCATCCCAGGGATGAAGCCCACTTGCTCATGGTGGATAAGCTTTTTGATGTGCTGCTGGATTTGGTTTGCCACTATTTTATTGAGGATTTTTGCATCAATGTTCATCAAGGATATTCGTCTAAAATTCTCCTTTTTTGTTGTGTCTCTGCCAGGCTTTGGTATCAGGATGATGCTGGCTTCATAAAATGATTTAGGGAGGATTCCTTCCTTTTCTGTTGATTGGGATAATTTCAGAAGGAATGGTACCAGCTCCTCCTTGTACCTCTGGTAGAATTCGGCTGTGAATCCATCTGGTCCTGGACTTTTTTTGGTTGGTAGGCTCTTAATTATTGCCTCAATTTCAGAGCCTGTTATTGTTCTATTCAGAGATTCAACTTCTTCCTGGTTTAGTCTTGGGAGGGTGTATGTGTCAAGGAATTTAACCATTTCTTCTAGATTTTCTAGTTTATTTGCATAGAGATGTTTATAGTATTCTCTGATGGTAGTTTGTATTTCTGTGGGATCAGTGGTGATATCCCCTTTATCATTTTTTATTGCGTCTATTGGATTCTTCTCACTTTTCTTCTTTATTAGTCTTGCTAGCGGTCTATCAATTTTGTTGATCCTTTCAAAAAATCAGCTCCTGGATTCATTGTTTTTTGAAGGGTTTTTTGTGTCTCTCTCTCCTTCAGTTTTGCTCTGATCTTACTTATCTCTTGCCTTCTGCTAGCTTTTGAATGTATTTGCTCTTGCTTTTCTAGTTCTTTTAATTGTGATGTTAGGGTGTCAATTTTGGATCTTTCCTGCTTTCTCTTGTGGGCATTTAGTGCTATAAATTTCCCTCTACACACTGCTTTAGATGTGTCCCAGAGATTCTGGTATGTTGTGTCTTTGTTCTCATTGGTTTCAAAGAACATCTTTATTTCTGCCTTCATTTCGTTATGTACCCCGTAGTCATTCAGGAGCAGGTTGTTCAGTTTCCATGTAGTTGAGCAGTTTTGAGTGAGATTCTGAATCCTGAGTTCTAGTTTGATTGCACTGTGGTCTGAGAGACAGTTTGTTATAATTTCTGTTCTTTTGCATTTGCTGAGGAGTGCTTTACTTCCAACTATGTGGTCAATTTGGAATAAGTGCGGTGTGGTGCTGAAAATAATGTATATTCTGTTGATTTGGGGTTGAGAGTTCTTTAGATGTCTATTAGGTCCGCTTGGTGCAGAGCTGAGTTCAATTCCTGGATATCCTTTTTAACTTTCTGTCTCATTGATCTAATGTTGACAGTGGAGTGTTAAAGTCTCCCATTATTATTGTGTGGGAGTCTAAGTCTCTTTGTAGGTCTCTAAGGGCTTGCTTTATGAATCTGGGTGCTCCTATATTGGGTGCATATATATTTAGGATAGTTAGCTCTTCTTGTTGAATTGATCCCTTTACCATTATGTAATGACCTTCTTTGTCTCTTTTGATCTTTGTTGGTTTAAAGTCTGTTTTATCAGAGACTAGGATTGCAACCCTTGCCTTTTTTGTTTTCCATTTCCTTGGTAGATCTTCCTCTATCGCTTTATTTTGAGCCTATGTGTGTCTCTGCACGTGAGATGGGTTTCCTGAATACAGCACACTGATGGGTCTTGACTCTTTATCCAATTTGCCAGTCTGTGTCTTTTAATTGGAGCATTTAGCCCATTTACATTTAAGGTTAATATTGTTATGTGTGAATTTGATCCTGTCATTGTGATGTTAGCTGGTTATTTTCCTTTTTAGTTGATGCAGTTTCTTCCTAGCATCAATGGTCTTTACAATTTGGCATATTTTTGCAATGACTGGTACCGGTTGTTCCTTTCCATGTTTAGTGCTTCCTTCAGGAGCTCTTGTAGGGCAGGCCTGGTGGTGACAAAATCTCTCAGCATTTGCTTGTCTGTAAAGGATTTTATTTCTCCTTCACTTATGAAACTTAGTTTGGTTGGATATGAAATTCTGGGTTGAAAATTCTTTTCTTTAAGAATGTTGAATATTGGCCGCCACTCTTTTCTGGCTTGTAGAGTTTCTGCTGAGAGTTCTGCTGTTAGTCTGATTGGCTTCCCTTTGTGGGTAACCCGACCTTTCTCTCTGGCTGCCCTTAACATTTTTTCCTTCATTTCAACTTCGGTGAATCTGACAATTATGTGTCTTGGAGTTGCTCTTCTCGAGGAGTATCTTTGTGGTGTTCTCTGTATTTCCTGAATCTGAATGTTTGCCTGCATTGCTAGGTTGGGGAAGTTCTCCTGGATAATATCCTGCAGAGTGTTTTCCAACTTGGTTCCATTCTCGCCGTCACTTTCAGGCACACCAATCAGATGCAGATTTCATCTTTTCACATAGTCCCATATTTCTTGGAGGCTTTGTTCGTTTCTTTATACTATTTTTTCTCTAAACTTCTCTTCTCACTTCATTTCATTCATTTGATCTTCACTCACTGATACTGTTTCTTCCAGTTGATCGAATCGGCTACTGAAGGTTGCGCATTCATCACGTAGTTCTTGTGCCATGGTTTTCAGCTCCAGATCATTCATTAGTTTGTGTTTTTTTAAATGCTGTATAGTGTACCATTTTATAAAGACACCAGGATTTGTTTATATTCTCTCTTGTTTATGGACTTCTAGGTTGTTTCCAGGTTTTGGTTGTTATGAATAAAGCTTCTATAAACATCCTGGTGCTCACATTTTGATGGACATATGCATTCATTTTTTCTAGAGAATTATGCTTTTTAATCTAAATAAATTTTGGAAAATTCTATCTTAAATTCTATTTAATATTATTACTCTTGCCTATTTCTCATCCTACTTGTTTTCTTCTTCTGGAACTTCTACAGTCACGTTGGAATACTACCTTTATCTCCACATCCTTTTCTTTTTCTCTTATGTTTTTCATTTCTTTGTCCTTCTGCATATCTTTTCTGAGAGAATTCCCTGCTTTAAATTTTCAGATCTCTTAATTAAATCTTTAACTGTGTAAAATCTACTGTTTAGCCTATATCTATTAAATTCTTATATCAGTAATTATGTTCTAAGTTTTTAAGTACTCTTCTATTTTTTTTCAATGCAGCTTTTTCTTCTGTTTTTTTTTTTTTTTTTCCAATGATTGTACCGTCTTCTTAAATACCTCTGAAACGGTTTTTCTGGTCTTAATATTTCCTTTTTTTCTGTATTAATATTTTGCTTATGATTTCATTTTTCTATTTAAGATTTATTTGTCTCTTTCATGTTACATATCTTCAAATGTCTATTGATTCTTATTATTTGCATTTGTAGATGAGGATCTTTGCTGATCAAAATTATTGGCCTGGATGCCTTTTCTCTATCCAATTGAACAATGGTGTCTCTTGGCAGTAAATGTGAATATAGAATTGGATTATAGTAGCTATAACTCAAGTAGTTGAATATGTGTTGTGTGTGTGTGTGTGTTTGTGTTTTTGTGTGTATTGGGTTAAGAAGGGGCACATGACCAGATTATGAAACTTCTTTGACTTCTGAGCTGGCAGTCCTTGTCTTTGGGGCTAATTACAAGCTACCTGGGAGCACTTTCATTTCTTTCTGGCACCACTGCCTACTTTACTAATATTCAGTTGCAGAATTTCCAGTTTGAAAGCTATTGCGTGATTATATCCTCAGGGTAGAACCAATAGTGAACTGCTCTGTTCTTCAACTAATTACCTGGCAAAAGGCCCATTGACCATTCCTTTTCATAATCACTCTGCTTTAATCATGCTGCAGGTTATTCTTGGGTTCTGTTATCAGGATTCATTTGTAAGAGGTCCTGTTCTTTTACTGTATGGCTTTGCTCTTTTCTTGCCTTGCTTGGGTTTTCTTGTCCTGCTGTCATTTGCTTTGTATTTTCTACAAAGTTGACTATTCTGATCAATTGGTGACACCCTCCCAGACATTCAGCATTGCCAGAAATTTTTTTGCATTTGTGTTGTACCATTTGAATGGAATCTGAGATTGAGGAGAAATACTTGACCCTACTTACTTATTTTGAACCAGATATCTCTTGTAGGTTATTTCCAATATTTTCACCCATGATACAACCTCAGAAATATTAAATAGCCTACCAAAACTTATGTAGCTGTTATATACAGAAGTCTGATTGATTTTAAAATCCAAGTTATTTTCAGTACCTCCACCTTATTTTAAACTAGAGAAACAAATGCCCAAAGGGTCAGGTCAGTGTGCTATTAATTTAGGATTTTAAATATTATTTATCTCTTCTTTTCAGTAACTTTGTGTTTGATGCTAGACTTATTAAAATAAAAAATAATTATAGATAATGCATCTGAGAGCATGAGTGAATTAGTGTATTCAATAGTGGTTTGATCATTAGAGGAAAAATACTAATTTAAAGCTCTACATTCTATTCTTTAAGCCCATTTTTCATTTTTGTAATAATATAAAGTTTATTTCCCATTACGTATAATTTAAAGATGTAATTCTATCTTTGGATAGAGGAAGGAGAGAGGAATCTTATTGTGCTAATAGTTTTTCATGAAGTTTTCCATTTAAAATTGTAATGTTAGAATATTGAAAATAGGACTTATTAATATTTAAGTATAAGAAGAAATTAGTTGTTTATATAAAATAGCACTGCTTTTGACTAATAATTATTTTTTAAAAAAATTACGGTAATTGGAATGCTAATTGGTAGTTTTATTTAAGCTTTGAATATTCCTCACATTTTTCTTTGAGCAGAAGACCCTACAGTTGAAAGAACTAATCACATCAAATATAAGTTTTAGTATATTCAAATAATAAAATTTTGATTTTAAGTTAGAATATTAAAGTTATATTAGACTTATATTACCTGGCGCACCGATATTGTAATAAAAATGTAACATTGGTTAACTTAATGTAACTTGAGAAAAGAACAAAGAGGCAAATGCGCTTTACATTAGGAAAGCTAAACTCTGGCTTTTCAAAGGACATGGATTACAAGAGGATAATGTCACTGTAGTGCATTGGAGCTTCCTTTTTAAAGTAATACTGTTCACAATGTCAGTTTCTGGTGATCACCAGTGGTAGCAGTAATTACAGTGAGGGGTATTACTGACAATGAGACAAAGATGTGTAAGACTACAGCTTTTTTTTTTTTAATGCTATACCTGGATTCTGAGTTAAATCTTTTTTTTCTCCCTCCTGAATTTGATATGATGACACTATTGAACAGGACATTTTTCCATGACAGTTTGAGCCGTTATTAATAAAATATCTGTTACACAATAGCTGAATACATTTAATTAAAGTTGATGCAATGAAAATAATAGAAAAAGGTAAGACTTTCCCCTGATGAGTCATTAATGAGTGATGGTAATCAGCATGGATTAAGCCAAAAAGAAAATAATTCCAGGAGATGAGCTTGATGGCCCTTCCTCAGTACGTCTTTGTTTCCTTATAATAAAATTTTAGTAGGAAATGCTAAATTATGCATCTTTCTCTTAATAACCAGTGACATTAACTCAGTATATCATAATCTTCTCCATTGTCTGACACATCTTGATGCAGATTAGCATATCTCTGACCTCCTTTCATCTCTCTATTGGCTCTACTAGGAAAACTCTGAAAATATGTCTTTCTGCGTCTGAAACAACCAACTATGGATTCTCAAGCCCTCCACCTTTTAATCTCCACAGTTAATATATCTACAAGGTATTATTTTCACTCAAAGGTCAAGAAAGTATATATGGAACAATTAATGAGTACATATTATTAAATTATCTGTTCCTAATGATTATTCTATTAGCTGGAAAATGATTGTGGTAATTATAAGCAGAGCAGATATATGAGCTCATAAAAATTGTGTAGATTTAAATTTTCACTCATGGTCTCTCTCATAAAAAATTCCAAATGATGATTGAGTATATTTCATTTTCTATGTTATTAGCATTTAGCAACTGTTTTGCATAGATATTGAGAAATCAAAATTGACTCACAGTTCAGGAAAGTTGAATTCTCCAAAGCATACAGTGATGACCCATATAATGAGTTCTTGGAGTTTGATGTTAAACGGACATTGCTATTAACTCTGAAGCAAAGAGAATGAACTTAGAATTAAAGGAAAATGCTGTGTTGGGAGATAAATAAAAAGGCAAGGAATTAATCCACATTTTAAAAGACATCTTAAATATTATAAAATGATTTACATTTAACTTTCTTTCTTATTTTTTTTTCTGTCATGCACACACATGACAAACTACTATGGAACCACTATAGAACTCTACTGGATGTAAACAGAAAGTAGGGTGTTACACTGTTACACTGTTACTCCTTGTATACACTTGAGGGACATAATCATTAAAATAATTAAAAAGCACCATTTTATGAGACTGAAACCATGCTCCACTAGTGAATAGAGCTCAGGTCACTCCACCAGGTAAAGAACCATGACCAACTGAGGTACTCACTGAAGACAAAGGGTATACAAAATGGGATCACAGAAGAAGGCAGTTGTAAATACCAGCTACCACCATGTGGCCATTTACAGAAACAAGGATTGTAACTTATTTCTTCTTTATTTTGTTATGAATATTGTGTGTGCATGAGTATGTATGCATATAGCAAATTGCTTTGTTATCTTCTTCCTCTTATTCCCTTATCATGTAACATAAAATGTATTGACTTGATATCATAGTATTTAAGTATTGTTAATTTTACATCATAGTATTTAAGTTGCAGAATATCAAGGAGAAGAGTAAACATCATTTAAGAACTTCACCTCCTCTTCTGAGAAGAAATTAGTGTATTTCTGGTTGTATGTAGAATAGTTGTATTATGTTAGGTTGAATTATCTTGTTATTATCTTTTTTTTTGGAGATTAAGTATGATTTAAGGAAATGTGTGAGTGCCAATTTGACAAGGGGTGGTAAATTTGTGATGTGTCAGTTTGACTGGGGTACAGGGTGATGAGATATTTGGTTAAATGCTATTCTGGGTGTATCTATTAGGGTGTTCCTGGATGGCATTAACACCTGCATCAGTAGACTGAGTAAGGCAGATTGCCCTTATCAATATGGGTGGGCCTCATCAATCCATTGGAGGCCCAAATAGAACAAAAGATAGAGTAAGAGAGAATTTTCTGTCTACCTGACTTTTCTTTTAAGCTAGGACATCCATCTTCTCCCATACTTGGACTGAACTTACACCACTGGTTCTCAAGGTTTCAGTCTCAAACTTGAACTACACCCTTGGTTATTCCAGGTCTCCAGCTTACCAACTGCAGATCCTGGGACTTCTCAGCCTTTATAACTTTCAATATTGCTCCTTTAGGCTTGTATGAGTCAGTTCCTTAAAATAAATCTCGTGTGTGTGTGTGTGTGTGTGTGTGTGTGTGTGCGCGTGCGTGCGTGTCTTCTATTCCTTTTGTTTATTTGGAGAAACCAGACTGATAGTGGGTGAAAAAAATTTGACTTGTCTCTTGATTATGCTAGCCAGAGAACAGTTATGATTTCTTTCATTTCATGGCTTTCATTTTTTAAAGGAATACAGTCTTCAAATATATTAAAAAATATCAATTGGACAGGAGATGCTTCTAATATTTTGTGGTTGGTAAGTCTATTTTTTGTGCTTTCCATGGCAATATCACATTTGTCTGCATGTACCTTGCATGACTTAGATATCAAATGGCCAATTGCAGCAGTTCCACTTTGGCCCATCATGATAAATATTAGCAAAGAAGAATTTAGTGGCATAAATGTGTGAAGTGCAGCACAGATATGTGTATTAGTCTGTTCTCATGCTGCTATAAAGAAATACATAAGACTAGGTAATTTATAAAGGAAAGAGGTGTAATTGACTTACAGTTCTACATGGCTGGGTAGGCCACAGAAGACTTACAATCATAGTGGAAGGCAAAAGAAAAACAGGTACCTTCTACACAGGGTGGCAGGACAGAGTGAGTGCAAGCAAGGGAAATGCCAGACACTTATAAAACCAGATCTCATGAGACTCATTCACTATTATGAGAACAGCATGTGGAAAACTGCCTCATGATCCAATTACCTCCCCCTGGTCCCACCCTTGACACATGGGGATTATGGGGATTATAGTTCAAGAAGAGATTTTGGGTGGGGTCGCAGCCAAACCATATCATTCTGCCCCTGGCCCCTCCCAAATCTCATGCCCCTGTCACATTTCAAAACCAATCATGCCTTCCCAACAGTCTCCCAAAGTCTTAACTCATTCCAGCATTAACTCTAAAGTCCAATTCCAAAGTCTCACCTGAGCCAAGGTAAGTCCCTTCTGCCTATGAGCCTGTAAAATAAAAATCAAGTTAGTTACTTCCTAGATACAATGGTGGCACAGGAATCAGGTAAATACACCCATTCCAAATGGGAGAAATGGGCCAAAAGGAAGGGGTTACATGCCCCATGCAAGCCTGAAATCCAGCAAGGCAGTCAGCTCTTAAAGCTGTAAAATGACCTCCTGTAACTCCATGTCTCACATCTGGGTCACACTGATGTAAGAGATGCGCTCCAACAGCCCTGGGCTCCTCTAACCCTGTGGCTTCAAAGGATACAGTCCCCCTCCTGGCTGTTTTCATGGGCTGGCATTGAATGTCTGTGGCTTTTTCAAGCTCATGGTGCAAGCTGCAGTGGATCTACCATTGTGGGGTCTGGAGAATGTAGGTCCTCTTTGCACAGTTCCACTAGGCAGTGCAAAGGCTCTGTGTAGGGCTCCAACCCCACATTTCCCTTCCACACTGCACTAGTGGAGGTTCTCCATGAGGTCTCCACCCCTGCAGCAAACTTCTGCCTGTACATCCAGGCAGAATCATATATACATATATCCAGGCAAATGCATACATATGCATTTCCATACCTCCTCTGAAATCTAGGCAGAGGTTCTAAAACCTCAGTCCTTGACCTCTGTGCACCCACAGTCTTAACACCACATGGAAGCTGCCAAGGTTTGAGGCTTGCACACTCTGAAGCCATGGCCGGAGCTGTACCTTGGCCCCGTTTAGTCATGGCTGGAGCTGGAGCAGCTGGGGCACAGGTCACCATGTCCCCAGGCTGCACAGAGCAGAGAGGCCCTGGACACCGCCCAGGAAACCATTTTTCCCTCCTAGGCCTCTGGGCCTGTGATGAGAAGGGCTGCCTTGAAGGGCTGCCTTGAAGACATTTTCCCCATTGTCTTAGTGATTAACATTTCGTTCCTTGTTACGTATGCAAATTTTTGTAGTTGGCTTAAACTTCTCTTCAGAAACTGGGTTTTTCGTTTCTATCACATCGTCAGTCTGCAAATTTTTTAAACTTTTATATTCTGGTTTCTCTTGAATGCTTTGTCATTTAAAAATTTCTTCCACCAGATACCCTAAATCATCTGTCTCAATTTCAATGTTCCACAGATCTCTAGGGCAGGGGCAAAATGCTGCCAGTCTCTTTGCTAAAACATAGCAAGAGTCGCCTTTGCTCCAATTCCCAAGAAGTGTCTTATCTCCATCTGAGACCACCTCAGCTGGGAATTCATTGTCCATATCACTATCAGCATTTTGGTCAAAACCATTCAACAAGTCTCTTGGAAGTTCCAAACTTTCCCACATCATTCTGTCTTCTTCTGAGCCCTCCAAACCGTTCTGACCTCTTCCTGTTACCCAGTTCCAAAGTTGCTTCTATGTTTTCAGGTATCTTTACAGCAGCCCCCCAACTACCAAGGTATCAATTTACTGTATTAGCTCATTCTCATGCTGCTATGAAGAAATACTAGAGACTGAGTAATTTATAAAGGAAAGAGGTTTAATTGACTCACAGTTCCACACGGCTGGAGAGACCTCAGCAAACTTACAATCATGGCAGAAGGCAAAGGAGAAGCAGGCACCTTCCTCACAGGGTGACAGGACAGAGTAAGTACAAGCAAAGGAGATGCCAGATGCTTATAAAACCATCATATCTCATGATACTCACTCACTATCACAAGAAAAGCATGGGAAAACTGCCTCCATGATTCAATTACCTCCACCTGGTCCCACCCTTGACATGTGGGGATTATGGGAATTATAACTCATGATGAGATTTCAGGCAGGGACACAGCCAAACCGTATCAATATGTTAATATGCACAATATGTTTGGGTTGTCTTAGTTAAGTCTGAATGGAGATATTAACACATATTGCTTCATTATAAACTCAGCAGGATTGCTTCAATTTGTTTAACATGAAAAGATGAGCTGAAGGTTAGTCTAGCTGACTGTACAAAGAGCTGGACTGAAAAGATCTGAATTCACCATCTGGCTTTGTCTATTACTGTTCTAGCCTCTTCTTTTTTCGTTGTCAAAATACTTAACTGCTGAGGTTCAGTTTAATCCTCTTAGATGTCTCATTCCCAAATTTGTTTGGCACATTTATGGTCATATTTTATAGTATAAGGTGACTCATGTATAAGATAAAAAAGATCATAATACTTTAATATATGGGAAATTTAGAAAATGTTCACAATACTTTCTCCGAAAACAAGCCCCTATGTTTCAGGGGCTTTTGAATAGCCCCTTTCATCTGCTCTACCACAATTCTCCACCTGTGCTGACCCAGTAGGAAGGACTAGTGTCAGGCTCTTTTCCTTCTCATTCAGTGTCTTGTTCTGCTATTACTTAGATTAGGCACCACTGACAAATTGAGGTCACCTGAGATAACACTGAATCACTGTCGGTAGAACAAAACTATAATTATTGCAGTAGTAGTTTGATATAAAATCAGAAAGCCTTTGAATTTTGAAATATAGTCAATACATTTCTGTTCAGTATGGTTCTTGATTAAAGTTTTGCATCTACTTTCCATAGGAACATAAAAAATTCGGTGAGTTATGGTGAGTTGCCTAGAATTTTATGAATCTTTCAAATATTTTCTGAATAAAAATGAATTCTAGTTTTTTCCTGTTATGTTCCTGCAAGAAACAGATTCTAGCTAATGCTTTGATGGGACCAATTCTGCAAAGAACAATATGTTCATCAGTCATGATACTGCAATAGCTACTTTCTAGAGGAACAATAAGATTTTCCTTATTTTATTTGTTATTAACTCATATTGATAGCTTGTGATCAGTATGAAACCCTTAGTGTCACTGTCTTCTATTATCAGCTATCTACCATAAGGTGCAAGTCACTTTGTATGATTTGATCAACCAGAGAGCTTGGTCAGGGAGATCTTGTAACACATCAACTTCTAATGGAAAGAGTACAGCATAATATGGAATCTGCAATAACAGATGGCCCAAGGCATCAGCTTTCAACATTGCTCTTCTAGGCTTGTAGATAAGCATATAGTTGAGTGCACTGAACTAATCAAGACCCAAGAGCAGCATATGTGCTGTCATAATTAACTGGAAAAAGGTAGTACATTATTTCAGACCTTTGCACATGCTATAAAGCTTTGCTTCTCATAGTGTGGCCCTCAGACCAGCAGTATGCAACCCCGGAGAGTTTGCTGAGAATGCTGATTCTTAGGCCTGACCCCAGATACTAAATTGAAATCTGCATTTTATCAAGGTCCCTAGGTAATTTGTATAATCACTAAAGTTTGAAAACACTGCTCTAAATTTGTGGCAGATGGTGCAATCAGAATAGGGTTTTTAGCCTTCCTTGTATGTCATTTTAATTTATTGTTCTATTTTCTTCTCTAGCTCGATTTTTGTTTCAATAACAATGGATCTGCAGACCTTCCTCCCACAATATATAGATGGCTTAATTTATTTGACGTTAAAGCTTGCTTCCTAAAAACCTTTCTTATCAAGATTTTCACAACACTTAAGTCATATTGTGGTAGAGTCTAAACCAGCTCTTAACAGAATCTTTGGTCTTTAGAAAAGTCAGAGTAACGAGTGTCCAACACTTTGATGCCATTGTTCTACTAATCCACTTCAACATTTGGCATTGACCTCTGCAGCTTAGACAAATTGGGGACTCTTTTGTGGAGCTTTACATAGGTTCTGCACACCTGAGAAGACATGTACTAATTGGGACAAATTTCCACCTATGTCACACGTTATACTTTTTATATTGGCAATGTGCAGTTAAGTGGTATCTGCCCAAACTACATATATCCACCCTGTGTACTAATGTATACAGTTAAATATAAGCCAGGCGATCCAGAAGAACTTCCTAATATATTTTCACATGCAGGTTGTATGTGGAGGGAAGGGATGGATGTGAAATATCAGCAGTTTTGACATGGGTGACTTCCTGACACTTGAAGAATGGAGAGAGCTAGAGAAGGAGCTGTGAGGTGGGGGTGGGGATTGCATTTTTTATTCTTGAGTAGACTCTGGCTGCCTGAAAGGGGAGCAGTACCATACAGATAGAGTTCTATGGCCTTGGGGGAAGGAATTTTGGAGCATCACCCTGTCATAGATCAATGACTTAATGCATCAGGATGGATGACCGTTAACTAATGGATTGTAGCTCAGTCATTGCTGATTGTGGTGGTTTGAAGAAATTTGCCATAATTGCAATATTTGTATATTTCTAAAGGCTGAAGAGAATTACTGATGTCTGAAGACAACATGATATTCCAAGTTGAAGGTGTCTTTGCCTGTTGGGTAGAAAGCCAGTGATTCTCTGTTTCATTTAATGTATTTCTATTCAGAGAGGGAAAAGGAAGAACAAATCTCCTTTAAGACTAATTTTTCCATTTGGAGATGCTTCTACATATCACTGATGTCCCCACCCACTATCCCCCATCAGGCAGCATAAACTGTTTGCAAGTACTGGCTAATTTGGATGAGGTAATTAATTGTAGATGGCAATTGTGTGTTGGCAAGTCTTCTAAAAACATGAGAACTCTTAATTACCTCAAAGGGTAATGTCTATGCTGTCACTGGTCAAATGTTTTTTCTAATACTCTTAAAGGGTATGGAACAAAATATCACTGAACAAGATGTGGACACAAATCTAGTAAAGACTTGTTATCCCCTGTATTAATTTCCTGTGGCTGCTGTAAGAAATCATAAAAACTTAGTGCCTTAAAACAACAGAAATTTATTATCTCACAGTTCCGGAAGCCAGAGTCTGAAGTCAAGGTTTTGGCAAGACTGTGCTACCTCCAAGGCTCCAGGAGAGAATTGGCTCCTTTTCTCTTCCAGTGTCTGGTGGCTGCCTCAGTGTTGCTGAACTATGGCCTCATCACTCCAATCTCTGCCTCCATGGTCACATTGCTTCCTGCTCTTCTCTGTCAAAACTACCCCCATCTGTCTTTTATAAGGATACATGTGATTGCACTTAAGTCCTACTTATATACTTCAGGGTGGATGATACCTCCTCTCAAAATCCGTACCTCAATTGCATCTTTTACCTTAGAAGTTAATATTCACTCTTTTGCTAAATATGGTAACATGTAAAGATTCCGTGGTTACGGCATGGATATATCTTTTTGAGGGCCATTATTTAACCCCATACATCCCACTCCCAGTTCTGCTAAGAAACCTTAGATAATTACAAACATTTTTTTTGGATGCAGGGGTGGGGGGTGCATCAGTTTCCATAAGTAGAGAATAAACAATCAGTCATATCACCAAACCTTTCACTGTTTTGACTTAAAGATTATGTCCTGGCACCAAGATCCTTGGACAGACAAGAAATCACTAGGAACAGCCTCTACATTAGGAAGACAGAAGTTGCACTGACCTATTGACCTGGGAGAAGTCATCATTCAGAGAAACTAAGTATCCCAACAAGTTATTACCAGCATGTTGACACTCACATGGAACTATATTAGGAGTTTTCTGAGGAAACAAGTCTAGCCATCAGTTATGGCCTGCTTGATAATGTAGTTTGATATTTTACTTATAAACTTAATATTTACCACTGAAGTGATATATTATGCATAAGTTAAAGGACTCTGTCTAGAGGTTTTCTTGCAGGTGAGGTCTGATATGCCCTTCCCAAATGTCTTTGGCTAATTTGGATATTATGAATTAGGGTGAGTGGCTTTCTTAGTGGATTATATTTTCCATATGGATCCCAGATGGGTGAAGTGTTAGAGCTGCACATGCTCTGTCCAACAGACCACCCTTGTGTGCACTGAAACCGTAGCTGATGGAGAGATATATGCCCTCTGGGATAGCAAAAGTGCTACCTTTGGGAAGGAGAAAGTGTGGCTAGGAGCTTTGAGCCATCTCTTGAGTTGTCATCAAAATGTAACTGACTCATGTTTCCTTACTGCTTGTGTCATTGCTCCATATGGTGAAGGAGAGAATGGAGAGGGGGTGCTGGAGAACACTGTGGGATAATTCACAGCTGCATGGTAGGAATACATCATAAGAGATGTCTCCAATATCAGGATAACTCTGAATTCTAAATGCATGAAATTATCACAATTTAAAAGTGAACGACATGAGGTAGTGCTGTGGAATGCTTCTGCCTTAGGAGAAACATGCAGAGGGAACTGTATTAGATTTTGAACTTTTGGAGAAGGAACAGAAGCCAGAGTAAATGAGAGATACATATTCCTCTGACCCAAGAAGGTGAAGCAGGTTCAAGCAAAATACATTGCCTGTACCTAATGCATTCAGCCACATTATTAATCCCCAAAACAGCATCCTTAGAAATGACTCACCCAAATTTCATTTCTTTCTGTCAAAGTAGACATTCATAATATGAGTATCACTAGTAAGAGGTCACTTTACGTGTTACATTAGAGCATTTTCCATCCAGAACAGAAAGCACCACTGTAGGTGTTCTGGGAAAACTTCTCATTTATGAACAATTTGCTCACATCCAGATTTATAAAATTTTCTTTTCAAGTCTACACTAAACAAATAATGAAATTGGAGAGTATGTTGTTACAGTAAATTATTTCATTTAACAAAAATTACCACCAAAGCATCTGAGAGATTTGCCAGAACTGTTAAACTTGGGAGGGGTTGCAGAGTGTAATGATTATCCAATAGATGAACTAAGTATATGCATGTGCTATTAGCCATGTGGAAATACCAAAGTAATTTTTGGAAAAAAATCATATTTTATATTTGAAAAGGGTCAAAATAATAATGAAAACTAAGATTGAATTGAACTATATGGTGTGCTTATCACTTTTATTTTGACTTATAAATGGGTACTCCCATAATCTTTGTAGTACTTAGGTCTTTTGAAGATCTAATTATAAGCCTTTTCTGGATACTATGTTCAGAAATCAAGATGCAACTGAGAATGGGCTATGATGGGGGGGTCTTGAGTCATGCCTACAGTACTACTATAGTATATTACTAGTTCCCTTTTTGTTTATTGATCTTCAGGATGGATCCAAAGACACTCATTGGCCAATAGAAGAAAGCTAGAATGGATAGTTTTAACAGTTATTTAGTTAAAATAAGATGCAAAGTAAAAATGGTGGATAGGAGGCAGGACTAACTTGCAGCTCCTACTTGGATGGACAGAGCACTAAGTAGAGACCCATATTGTGAACTTTTGCCAGGAAAGACAAGAGAATCCACAGACCCTCTGAAGCAGATAGATTACCGCTCCAGGCTCTGTGGGACAGCGAGGAATTGTGAGTCAGCTTGCTGTCTCAGCTGGGAGGCTGGTAGCCTGGGGCAAGTTCTCAGCCCTGCTAACCAGCTGCCTGGAAATAAACTCGATGCTGTTGGTGGGGCATGGTTGTAGTGGCTGGGGGATGGCATGGGGGTTGGGTGAGGTCTGCGGCTGCTGGCTTTCTCCCACTTCCCTGGTGACCTGGGTGACACACAGCAGAGGCAGCCATAATCCCCCTGGGAACACAACTCCATTGGCCTGGGAACCACACTCCCATCCCCCACAGCAGCCACAGCAAGCCTCGCCCAAAAAGAGTCTGAGCTCAGACATCCCTAACCCTGCCCGACCTGATGGTCTTCATCTACCCTCTCTGGTAGCCAAAGACAAAGCCCCACCTACCACCAGATCCTCCCTATGCTACTGCAGGCGATGCACTCTTGTAGGTGCCACCTCCTGGTGGAGGCCAACCAACACAAAACTAGTGCACTTAACAAAAATACAACCAAGTGAAACAAGAAAAGTTCCCTTGTCCCCCTCACAGAATGTGCGGCAGGGGGAGTGGCTCACTTCTTCAGTGTCCCGCTGCTCAAACCTCTAGGGGAGCATATAGACGGGCAGGTTGCGGGGCTGTGTACCCACGGCAGTTTCTAGGGGTGGATGTTTACAGCTCCTGAAGCCTCAGTGGGCATGTGTTACAGGGTGCTCTTTTAGTTTTGCTGTCTATAGGCAGCTTGTGTTAACCGGCTCAATTAGACCCTCTAGCTTGTCGCAAGGACAGAGGGCTTTCTATATCCCAGGTTCTTGCCTTGGTGTACCAGAAGAATTGGATCACACCTGGGCTTGGAGAATGAGTCCAAGGTTTTATTGAGTGGAGGTAGCTCTTAGCAGATGGGGGAAGCCAAAAGGGGGATGGAGTGGGAAGGTTTTCCCCTGAAGTCAGGCTGCTCAGCAGCCTGGGCTCTCCTCCAACTTCTCCAACCAACCTCTGCATCATTCTGCCAGTTTGTGGCCTGCTGGTGTGCCAGTGCCTGCTGATATGCTTCTCTGGATGTCCATCCACCCATGTGTTCCTCCTCTCATGTGCTTCTCTTGATGTCCAGCTGCTTCTGTCTCTGCCTTGCTAGGGTCTTGGGTATTTATAGGAACAGGATGGAAGCATGGAAGGCCAGGATAGTCTTAGGAAATGCAACATTTGGGCAGGAAATGCCTGTCCTCACCTAGGTCCATGGGGATACAGCCCTAGCCAGGGACCATGCCCTCCTTTACCCAGCACTTCTCTTCCCCATTTCTGTATCATTTAAAGGGACCACACTCTTCCCTTCCCAGCACTTCTGTATCACAAGGACCCTCACAGAGTCCACTTCATTCTCTTGCTATCTCCACCAGAGAAGGTGCTGGTATTCACTGCTGAGAGATCTGAAGATGGATCACATCACAGGACTCTCGGCAGACACTCCCCAGTAACAGCCTAGAGCCTGGTACCTTTACTGGGTGGCTAGATCCAGAAGAGAAATAACAATCACTGCAGTTCAGCTCTCAGGAAGCCCCATCCCTAGGGGAAAGGGGAGAGAACTACATCATGAGAGCACCCTGTGGGACAAAATAATCTGAACAGCAACCCTTGAGTCCTGGATCTTCCCTCTGACATAGTCTACCCAAATGAGAAGGAACCAGAAAAACAATTCTGGTAACATGATAGAAGAAGGTTCTTTAACACCCCCAAAAGATCACACTAGCTCATCAGCGATGGATCCAAACGAAGAAAAAAATCTCTGAATTGCCAGAAAAAGAATTTAGAAGGTCAATTATTAAGCCAATCAAGGAGGTACCAGAGAAAGGTGAAGTCCAACTTAAAGAAATCAAAGAAATGACACAGGATATGAATGGAAAAATCTCCAGTGAAATAGATACCATCAATAAAAACAATGACAACTTCTGGAAATCAAGTACACACTTAGAGAATTGCAAAATGCACTGGAAAGTCTCAGCAATAGAATCAAGTTGAAGTTAAGTAGAAGAAAAGACTTCAGAGCTCAATGATAAGGCTTTCAAATTAATCCAATCTGACAAACAAAGAAAAAAAATTTAAAAAATGAACCAAGCCTCCAAGAAGTTTGGGATTACATTTAACAACTAAACCTAAGAATAATTGGTGTTCCCAAGGAAGAAGAAAAATTAAAAAGTTTGGAAAACCTATTTGAGAAAATAATTGAAGAAAACTTCCCTGGCTTTGCTAATGATCTAGACATCCAAATACAAAAAGTTCAAAGAACACCTGGGAAATTCATCACAAAAAGATTACCGCCTAGGCACATAGTCATCAGATTATCTAAAGACAAGATGAAGGGAAGAATCTTAAGAGCTGTGAGACAAAAGCATCAGGTAATCTATAAAGGAAAACCTATAAGATTAACAGCGCATTTCTCAGCAGAAATCCTACAAGCTAGAAGGAATTGGGGTCCTATCTTTAGCCTCCTTAAATGAAACAATTATCAGCCAGGAATTTTGGATCCAGTGAAAGTAAGCTTCATAAATGAAGGAAAGATACAGTTTTTTTTCAGGCAAACAAATGCTGAGAGAATTTACCACTACCAAGCCAGCACTACAAGAACCGCTAAAAGGAACTCTAAATTTTGAAACAAATCCTTGAAATACACCAAAATAGAATATCCCTAAAGCATAACCTCATAGGACCTATAAAACAGCAACATGGTAAAAAAAAATCCCAAGGTATTCAGGCAACAAATAGGATGATGAATAAAAGAGTACCTCACATCTCAATACTAACATCGAATGTAAATGGCCTAAATGCTCCACTTAAAAGATAGAGAATGGCAGAATGGTTAAGAATTCACCAACCAAGTTCTGCTGTCTTCAGGAGACTCACCTTACACATAAGGACTCACATAAACTTAAGGTAAAGGGATGGAAAAAGATATCCCATGCAAATGGACACCAAAAGTGAGCAGGAGTAGCTATTCTTATATCAGACAAAACAAACTTTAAAGCAATAGCTGTTAAAACAGATGAAGAGAAACATTGTATAATGATAAAAGGACTAGTCCAACAGGAAAATATCACAATCCTAAATATATATGCATCTAACACTGGAACTCCCAAATTTATAAAGTAATTACTGCTAGACCTAAGAAATGAGACAGCAACACAGTAATAGGGGGGAAACTTCAATATTCCACTCACAACACTAGACAGGTAATCAAGATGGGAAGTCAACAAAGAAACAATCTGGACTTAAACTATACCCTAGAACAAATGGACTTAATAAATATTAACAAAACATTCTATGCCATAACTGCAGAACATACATTCTATTCATCAGCACATGGAACATTCTCCAAAATAGACCATATGATAGGCCACAAAACAAGCCTTAACAAATTTAAGAAAATGAAATTTATTTCAAGTATTTTTCTAAGACCACAGTGGAATAAAATTGGAAATCAACTTCAAAAGGAACCCTCAAAACCATGGATATGGAAATTAAATAACCTGCTCCTGAATAATTGTTGTGTCAACAATGAAATCAACATGGAAATTAAAAAATTCTTTGAACTGAACAATAGTAGTGACACAATCTATCAAAACCTCTGGGATATAGCAAAGATGGTGCTAAAAGGAAGTTGATAGCATTAAATGCCTACATCAAAAAGTCTGGAAGAGCACAAATAGACAATCTAAGGTCACACCTCAAGGAGCTAGAGACACAAGAACAAACCACACCCAAACCCAGTGGATGAAAATAAATAATCAAGATCAGAGAAGAACTAAATGAAATTGAAACAAAAAAATACAAAAGATAAATAAAATAAAATCTGTTTTTTTGAAAAGATAAAAAAAATTGATAGACCATTAGTAAAAATAACGAAGAAAAGAAGAGAGAAGATCCAAATAAGCTCAATTAGAAACAAAATGGGAGATATTACAACCAATACTACAGAAATACAAAAGATCATTCAAGGCTAATATGAACACCTTTATGCACATTAGCTAGAAAACCTAGAGTAGAGGGATAAATTCCTGGAAATATACAACCCTCCTAGATTAAACCAGGAAGAAACAGAGGCTCTGAGCAGACCAATAACAGGCAGTGAGATTGAAATGGTAATTTAAAAGTTACATACAAAAAAAGTCAAGGACTAGGCACATTCACAGATGAATTCTATCAGATACTCAAAGAAGAATTGATATCAATCTTATTGACATTATTCCAAAAGATACAGAAAGAGTGAATCCTCCCTAAATCATTCTGTGAAGCCTGTATCGCCCTAATTCCAAAACCAGGAAAGGACATAATGGAAAAAGAAAACTACAGACCAATGTCCCTGATGAAAATACATGCAAAAATCCTCAACAAAGTATTACCTAACTGAATCCAACAGCATATCAAAAAAGATAATCCACCATGATCAAGTGGGTTTTATACCAGGGATGCAGAGATGGTTTAACATCCACAAGTCAATAAATGTGATATACCACATAAACAGAATTAAAAACAAAAATCACATGATCATCTCAATAGATGCAGAGAAAGCGTTTGACAAAATCCAGCATCACTATATTATTAAAAACCCCATCAAACTCAACATAGAAGGGACATAACTTAAGGTAATAAAAGCCATCTATGACAAACCCACTGCCAACATCATCCTGAATGGGGAAAAGTTAAAAGTATTCCCCCTGACAACTGGAACAAGACATAAATGCCCACTTTTACCACTTCTATTCAACATAACACTGGAAGTCCTAGCCTGAGCAATCAGACAAAAGAAAGAAATAAAAGGCATCCAAATCATTAAAAAGAAAGTCAAACTGTCACTGTTTGCAGATGACATAATCCTATATCTAGAAAACCCTAAATACTCATTCAAAAAGCTCCTAGAACTGGTAAATGAGTTCAGCAAAGTTTCAGGATACAAAATTTATGTACACAAATCAGTAGCCCTGCTATACACAAACAGCAACCAAGCTGAGAATCAAATCAAGAACTCAACTCCTTTTACAAGAGCTGAAAAAAAAAATACATAGGAATATATTTAACCTAGGAGGTGAGAGACGTTTACGAGGAAAGCTACAAAACACTGCTGAAAGAAATCATAGATGACACAAATAAATGGAAACACATCACATGCTCATGAATGGGTAGAAACAATATTGTGAAAATGCTCATGCTGCCAAAAGTAATCTACAAATTCAATGTAATTCCCATCAAAATTCCACCGTCATTCTTCACAGAACTGGAAAAAAACAATCCTAAAATTCATATGGAACCAAAAAAGAGCCTGCATAGCCAAAGCAATACTAAGCAAAAAGAACAAATCTGGAGGCTTTACATTACCTGACTTCAAACTATATTATGAGGCCATAGTCACCAAAACTGCATGGTAGTATTAAAAACAAAACAAAACAAAACAAAACAAAAATACAAGCATACAGACCAATGGAACAGAGTAGAGAACCCAGAAATAACGCTGAATACTTACAATCAACTTATCTTTGACAAAGCAAACAAAAGCATAAAGTGGGGAAAGAACACCCAATTCAATAAATGGTGCTGGGATAATTGGTAAGCCACATGTGGAGGAATGAAACTGGATCCTCACCTCTCACCTTATACAAAAATCAACTCAACATGGATCAAAGACTTAAATCTAAGACCTGAAACCATAAAAATTCTAGAAGATGACATTGAAAAAAATGCTTCTAGACATTGGCTTAGACAAAGAGTTTATGACCAGGAACCCAAAAGCAAACATAACAAAAACAAAGATAAATAGATGGGACTTAATTAAACTAAAAAGCTTCTGCACAGCAAAAGAAATAATCAACAAATAGACAACACACAGAGTGGGAGAAAATCTTGCAATCTATACATCCAATAAAGGACTGATATCAAGAATCTACAAGGAACTCAAACAAATTAGTGAGAAAATAAAAAGAATCCCATTAAAAAGTGGACTAAGGACATGAATGGACAATTCGCAAAAGAAGACATACAAATGGCCAACAAACATAAGAAAAAAATGCTCAACATCACTAATTATCAGGCAAATGCAAATCAAAACCACAATGTGATACCACTTCACTCTTGCAAGAAAGGTCATAATCAGAAAATAAAAAATAAAAAAAAATTAATGTTGGGGTGAATGTGGTGAAAAGGGAACACTTTTACACTGTTGGTGGAAATGTAAACAGGTATAACCACTGTGTAAAACAGTGTGGAGATTCCTTATAGAACTAAAAGTAGATCTACCATTTGATCCAGGAACCCAATCCTAGGTATCTACCCAGAGGAAAAGAAATCATTATATGAAAAATATACTTCCACATGTATGTTTACAGCAGCACAAATTGCAATAGCAAAAATATGGAACCAGCCCAAATGCCCATCTATCAAAAAGTGGATAAAGAAATTGTGCTACACACACATGCACACACACACACACATACACACACACACATGTATATCATGGAATGCTACTCAGCCATAAAGAGAAATGAAATAATGGCATTCGCAGCAACCTGGATAGAATTGAAGACCATTATTCTAAGTGAAGTAACTCAGGAATGGAAAACCAAACATCACATGCTCTCATTCATAAGTGGGAGCTAAGCCATGAGGATGCAAAGAATGATAGAGTGAACTTTGGGGACTTGGGGGAAAGGGTGAAAGGGGGTGAGGGATAAAAATCTACACATTGGGTATAATGTACGTCGGGTAATGGGTGCACCAATATCTCAGAAATCACTACTACATAACTTATTCATGTAACCAAACACAACCTGTTTCCCAAAAACCTATTGAAACAAACAAAAAAAATTAAACACATGTTGTAACAGAGCAGTCTGTAGACGTAATTTTTAAATCTGGAAGATTTGAGAATTGTGGTATGATAAACAGTGTTTTACAGATTCAATTTCCCCCAAATAGACTTTTCAAAAGTGACTAACTTTTGGACTAGCCCAATTATTAAAGGCTAACAAACCCTGATGATGTTAGAAGTTTGGAATAGTGCGTGCACTGGTGCAGCCTGGAGGTAAGCAAAGGGCAGTCAGACTCCATGTACTTGGCTAATACATTAACTAGAGAAAGCAGCCCCATTGTTTCAAGTGCCACTATGTCTCAGCCAGTAATAAACAAATAAAACTAAAAAAAAAAGAAAAAGCAATATCCAAGTCACTCAGTAATACCTTTGGATGCTTACCACAGGAAGGTCAGCCTAATGCTATCTATGTACCAGCAAAGGCACCTTAACTCCAATAACAGACAAGGAGCTGCAGCTCAGAGATGAGTGCTTAGTGCAAAATTAGGTTATTTTTTGGTAGATATAAACTAGTGGACCAGAGTAGAGGACTCTAGTGGTGAAATAGTTAAGATCCTTACTAGTTAATAATGTGAAGTAGGTTTCCAGAACTGAAGCTGTTGAGGTAATAGATCTCAAACACTGTTCATAAATTAGAGAACTGGTGGTGGAGGTGGTCGTGATGGTGGAGGTAACAGTGGGAGCAGTAGTCTTCTGTCTCAGCTAATGCATTGTTGCCTCCTCAAAGTGACAGCCATGACTGGATGAGCTGCCACACATAATGGAGAGTGTTAGGAGTGATTGTTATCTGGAGGAGGTAGCAAGGTCTAACAACACAATGAGGTGGAGAGCCAATAAAGCTATAATTTTGAATAGTTTACAAAGAGGGATGAATGTTTCTTTAAAAAAGAGCGCATTTGTTGTCAAAGATGGTACAAATGGGGCAACTCTCCCCAAAGGATGCAAGGAATTCCACCCATTATTAAGGCTGACAACATGCCAGAGAAGATGCTTTCCATGTAGTTAATACTTCCTAGGGTGTGAATTGCTGTAGTACTCTCCAGGGTGGGCAATCTTCATTGAGAATGGATCCAGGGTAATTGTATAAAAAGGACTGCTTTTCATGAAAAGCTGAGATAAGTGTTGAGCAACGTGTCAGTTAGAGTTCTTTAGCAGCAAGTAACAAAAAACAACTCTTGTTTTTCTGTTAAATGAATTAATTTTATTAAAAATAGCTTCCATTTCTGAAGGAAAAGCTTAAAATCCAGGCCACAGAAGGATCAGGAATCAGGAAGCTCTGGAGATCTAGGGAGGAGAAACTGATGAACATTCTTTTTAGGGTTCTTCCAGTAAAATGAGTGAAGTTCAGCTGTTTTCCAGCTTGTGACATTATATGACAAATGCTCAAAGTGTTCCATGTCTGATTGCTCCACCTGGGGCTTAGGTGTTCTGTTTGTTTAGGAGAGGGAAGGGCACTGTACTGAGATATCAGTAGACATCTTGCAAGAGGAGAGGAGTTTCTCCCCAATGGAAAATAGCGAAGTAATGTTGCCAATACCAGAGGTAATACTGAAGAGAAAAAACAATGGACATGCCCTGTAGCCCAGACCTCATCCATACCTATTCAGAACATCCATAAAAAACATAAAAAATGCCCCATCAATAGAACTATTTTATCTAAAATAAAAACATATCTATCTTGCCTTTTCCAACTGCCTAGAGTGTTTATTTAACTTCAGTTTCACAATTTTCAAATGACGAAAATTTGGTTCTGGCCAGATCACTTTCCTGTCTTGATGTCGTGCAACCTATGGATGTTAGATAAACCGACCACCAACAAGGATTTGTACAATAAGAAAGAAAAGTTACACACACACACACACACACACACACACACACACACACACTGCATAACAAAGCAAGCAAAAAAAATAGAGGCCCTCTTTTTGCAACAAGTCATAAAGCTGCTGCTGAATCTGTGGCTTTCCTCCTTCATTGCATGCTCAAAATTCTTGTTTTCTCATAGCATCTTTAGGATTCTTTACCCCATGTTGTCACAATGTATGTCTTCAACCCTGAGGGTTCTGGACCATTGGTTATCTTACCTTGGAAGATTACTGTGTCTTCTATGATACTTATATAAAGAAATGCCAAGGGACTGCAAATTTCCATTCAGTTTCCCTCTATCTGCAGTAGAAGTCCTATTTTCTTTTTAAAATTAGGGTGATTACCCTAGGAAACCTTGTAATTCATATTCTTCCTCCTCTCTGTTTTTTCTATTTGTCTAGTGGCATGAAAAAAATGGCAATTGGCCAAATGGCAGTTTGAAGAATGCAAGTGAGTGGAACGATGATGAATCTCGGGTGAAAGCAATTTTCTATTTGGTACCAAGACTTCTACACACCAGTTAAACTTCGAGTAACTGGCATGGAAAGAAAAACAAATGTGAGGGTTATTATGTAACAACTTGAAAAGGGTCTTTTCCACCTCTTCCCCTTGCTTCTTAGCCCCATACAATCTGGTTATGAGACAAACAGCAACATTTATTGATCACAGATTTGCACATTATCCTAAAAGTCTCCCTGCTGGCCTCATTGCTATAGCTTATGGTAATAATGCTAATAAACTAAAAAAGCAACAACAGGGGATTCTTGGGGAATGAACTAATTGCCTTAATTTTTATTATAAATAAGTTTCTTGGTTAAAGGCCATGATGTTTAAGATATCTTGAGGGTTTGTAAGGTGTAGAGGAAACCCACAGATGAGAAGTCAAGAGTACAAGTTCCATTGTTCCATTACAGAATGTGTATGTTCCAGTGAACACAAATTGCTACTCTTTTAATTACAGAAAAGGTACAGTATACTAAGTCAATGGACACTGTGTGGACTTCTCAAAATATACTGTGTGGAGGCTGGCTCATGGCCGCTTACTGCTTCTGGAATATTTGTTTGTCAGAAGTAAAGTCAGGTCAGCCTCAGTAAAGTCAGTGTTGCTAAGCCCATGCCAAGCTACTATCACACACATAGCCACTGTTTTTATGAGACCCTTGAGAAAATCCTACGTCACCTGGAAACAGGGATGGGATACAATCCAGAGACAGGCTATCTTTCCCACCTTGCTGTTTAAGGGCCTTTTCAGCAGTGAGGGACTTTTGGTTTTATATACCTTCACATGGGATACAAATATATCAAACTCTGGGTCCATTGTAAGAGGCTCACCTATAAATTCGTTCTTCAAGTATTATCATCAACCCTCCAATCATGCTGCTTTGTCCACTGATTTTCAAAGAATCTCCAGAGTGAGAAATTTACCCTGCCAAATTGAACTTCTGCTTGGTTCCAGCATTTTGTTGAGAATCACCTTTCCCTGTTAATTCCTGTAGAGTACCCTCCCTGAGGCCACAGATATTGTTAAGGGGAATGAAAGTGTGTCTAGAGTACAGTTGCTAAGAGTGGGAACCACTTGCTCTTGCATTTTGTTAGGCCTTCAGAGCCTCCTCAGACCTGCCTCATATATATCTGGACTTGTTCAACTGAATGATAATGCAGAACTGATAGCACTTAATTTATGGATGACTCAAATGCATGATCACCGAGCAATCCATGGTGGCCTGTGTTCAGTACCCGTCAGACTCTAGGGAAAGTCAAGAACTGTTTTCCAGAAGAAATAGGTATTTGCCAAGGGGGACATTGTTTCATTCTAAAACTCAAGAGGCCTATGCTGTAATTCTTTTCTCAGAGCTTAATATAAGTGCCATAAATAATTCCATTCTACACGACATTTTCAGCACCATAATATCTGCTATGTCAAAAAAGGTGGCAGCATAGACAAATAGGCTATGTTTCTACACAGGGTGTAAACAGGTCATAGGAGAACTTCCAAATGTGATTTACATTCCTTTCAAATTCTGAATGAGCATGGTCTTCTGATTTATTATTTATTTGTTTCCAGTAGGAAGTGAATGGTGAATGGTGCGGGACTTGATTTTATTTTAAAGACATTCTTCTGGAGCTGATTGTATTCATTTTCTATTGCTGCTATAATACATTAACATACATTTAATGGCTTAAAACAACACAAATATATTATTTTACAGTTGTGTAGGTCAGAAATCCAACACAGGTCTCACTGAGCTAAAACCAAGGTATCAGCAGGGCTGTATTCCTTTCTGGAGACCCTAGGTGAGAATTTTCTTCCTCGCCCATTCTCGCTTCTAAAGGCTGCCTGCATTTCTTGGCTCTTGACCCACTTCTTCATCTTCAAAGCCAACAACATCAAATCCCTGGGAAGCTTTTCTATCATCACATCTCTCTCTTTCTAACACAGCCAGAAAAGCTCACTGCTTTTAAGGACTCTTGTGATTACATGGGACCTGCTAAGATATCCTGGAGTATCTTTCTGTCTAAAGGTTCATACTCTTAATGACATCTGCAAAATCCCTTTTGCCATAGAAAATAACATATTCACAGGTTCCAGGAATTAGATTATAGCTATTCTGAGGGGTTGGGAGTATTATTCTGCCTATGTTATTGATTAATCCTGACAGTGGTGCCTTGAAGAGATAATCCATAATATCCAGAAGTCAGATACCCAGAAGCTGTCTGGTTCCTGTTTATTTGAAAGCTATTGTTCAGCTATTCCTTCAGTTTTTTGAGTTACCATCCAGCATTCAATAAATTTTTTACAAATTAAATTAATGACTTAGTTTTGCTTGCCTACCTGATATGGTTTGGTTCTGTGTCCCCACCCCAAATCTCATCTTGAATTGTAATCCCCACGTGTCAAGGGAGGGAGGTGATTGAATCATGGATGTGGTCTCCCCATGCTGTTCTTGTGAGAGTGAGTTCTCATGAGATCTGGTGGTTTTATAAGTGTTTAGAAGTTCCTCCATTGTTCTTCTTTTTCCCCTGCTGCCTTGTGAAGAAAGTGCCTGCTTCCCCTTTCACCATGATTTTAAGTTTCCTGAGGCTTCCCCAGCCATGCAAAATGGTGAGTCAATTAAACCTCTTTCCTTTATAAATTACCCAGTCTTAGGCATTTCTTTATAGCAGTGTGAAAATGGGGTAATATACTACCTAAGAAATTTATGTCATGAATTGGAAAGGGATGCTGCACTTGAAGAAGGGGCAGTTCTCCATTAAGACAAGTTGGCAAAGTTTATAAAGCAGGCCAGAGCAGATGAGGAGCTGGGATTCACTATAGTTGTTGACATGTTAACAAACAGAGTGAGACTGAATTATGTGCTATTGGGAGTTAATGACCTTTGACTTAGCTGGGAGGTGGCTATAACCAGAGACTGACTCAAAGCAGGAGTACAGCAGTTTCAGTTTGGTATACATGGGGAATTGAGAATCAAGATGGCATCTTCTGGAATGGTAAGCTTTATGGCAGCTTTAAAGATGTAAAAATGGAGGTTATAGATTTGTCTGATGCAAAAATAAAGTTGTTCAGAAATTCCTGTCAAAGACAAGGGGCAGAGCAAGACCTCAAGGGAAATGAGAGCTAACATAAAGCAAATAAGGAGCAAATTTCAGATCAATTGTCAGGTCAGGGTATAGGGCTGGACTTTGACTACAGAGGGCAGAAATTGCCCCACAGGGCATAGCAGTGACAGGTAAGAACATCTCCTTACTCTACACATATACACAGAAGTGTATACAGTCCCTGAGACACAAAGCTTCAACTTTAGGCTGAAAATTTGTATATCGTTTCAAAATATGCTGCTATTTGTCTGGGCCCAGTGGCTCACGCCCCTAATCTCAGCACTTTGGGAGGCCGAGGTGGACGGATCACTTGAGGTAAGGAATTTGAGACCAGCCTGGCCAACATGGTGAAACCCTGTCTCTACTAAAAATACAAAAATTAGCCGGGCATAGTGGTAGGTGCCTGTAATTCCATCTACTCAGAAGACTGAGGCAAAAAATTCACTTGAACCTGGAAGGCAGAGATTACAGTGAGCTGAGATTGCGCCACTGCACTCCAGCCTGGGCGACAGAGTGAGACTCCATATCCAAAAAAAAAAAAAAAAAAAGTGGAATATCTGGGGGAAAGATTCTTAATGGACCAATCGGCTCTCTGTAAAATGGACCAATGAGCAGGATGTGGGTGGGGCCAGATAAGGGAATAAAAGCAGGCTGCCCGAGCCAGCAGTGGCAACCTGGTCAGGTCTTCTACACTGTGGAAGCTCTGTTCTTTTGCTCTTTGCAATAAATCTTGCTGCTGCTCACTCTTTGGGCCTGCACTGCGTTTATGAGCTGTAACATCCACTGGGAATGTCTGCAGCTTCACTCCTGAGGCCAGCGAGACCACGAACCCACTGGGAGGAGGAATGAACAACTCCGTAGGGAGGAACGAACAACCCCAGACGCGCCACCTTAAGAGCTGTAACACTCAACGCGAAGGTCTGCAGCTTCACACCTGAAGCTAGTGAGACCACGAAGCCACCAGAAGGAAGAAACTCCAAACAGGTCCGAACATCAAAAGGAACAAACTCCGGACACACCGTCTTTAAGAACTGTAACACTCACCGCGAGGGTCCACGGCTTCATTCTTGAAGTCAGTGAGACCAAGAACCCACCAATTCCGGACATAATATCACGTTCCCCTAGCACTCTGGTAGGTGCTTTTTATCAAAGTAGTTAATGAGAATGATATCCATAAGTACTTGGTTTATTTGAGTAGCATCTTTTACTACATAGCTACACAATTTTAGCTGGCAGAGCAATTCATTCTGTACACAACAAAATGACATGCTGCAGATATTCTTTTTTCTAAGTTGTTGATTTTATCATGTTTTAGCTTCTAGATTAGACTGCCTCTACTCTTAACTATCTGCTTGATCTGAGTAGGTCCCATAGCTTTTTGGGGTCTTATTCTTTACATCTGTAAACATAAATGCCGATTAAATGTGCTCAGCAAATCATTTCCTCAGTAGATATTTATCTAGCATCATGGTTAGAGATGCAAAGACAAAAACACTTTCTCCACCCCCATGATTCAGACAAATAAGAATTTAATTTAAAAAGTGTGATGAATTTCTACATAAAGGCATATGAAGGGAGCTACGGAGGTATGGGTAGAGGATGGAGGAGTGAAAAGGATGGAAAAGATGGGCTGTCCCTAGAGGTCTTCAGCATGTGTGGCACCATATGAGTCCAGTGGATGCAGGAGTGAGTAGGGTAGAGTTGGCAACGTATTGGGAAGCCTAGGGGCCAGCAAGAGCTTGGTGCCGTCTGGGAAGAGCAAGTGCTCCGGTGTGGGTGCAGCCTAACCATGAGAAAGTGAGAGTTGCTGCTAGATGAGAACTTGAAAACCAGCCTAGAAAAGCTGTTCATTTAACCATCCCCGCTTACCCAGAACGCACAGCGCAAACATACACAAGTTCTAACCTCTGGAAGCCAACAAACTCCACAAATCTATATAGAGATGTCTCCGTGGCTTCACCTACTTGGTTCTGTTCAAAGGTTCACTCTTCATGGAGGCCTACCTCACCGTTGCATATAATTAAATTATTTATCTAATTGATAATCAAAACTGTCATCTTGCCTTCCTGACATTATCAATTCCTCTTATTCACCTCTGTTTCTTTTCTTTTTTCTCCCATAGTACCTGTCATATTCTAAAATTGCCGTGGAATTTACCTCTTTACCATGTCCCCTGTTTGCTCAGTCTCTCCCCAGCTGGAATAAAAAACTCTGTAAAGACATGATCTCTTTCTTCTGATTTTCTCTATAGCAGTAGCTGGCACATAGGTGCTCAATAAATATTTATTAAATGAACAAACTACACAAAAGTTCAAACTTAAAGGCCATGAAGTATTTATAGAACCGATATATGAGAACAGCAGGATAAGAGATGTGGAAGTAGATACACACTGAATTTGGAACTGTGATTGAGCAGGGAAATGTAGAAGAATAGTGGGAGATGGAAAGGGCCTGGTGCTTAAGAATTGGGACTTCACCTAAGTCCTTGTGGTTATGGGTAAGAAAGCATCTAAGTAAACATTTAAAATTAGGCTTCCAGTAAAAATAATTACAGAACTGTGTGCTTAATCTGAATTCTCAGGTAGCAACACCAACGGTGAGACCCTTCCACAGTGCTGGAAATAATATAATCTTCTTGCAAAGTTAGAGCAAAAGAAAAGAGACATACATGAGACGATAAAAATGTGACCCAGTTGATGCTAGAAAAACAAAACAGGGTATTTTGGAGGAAAGATCTAGACACATAAAATCATCTTAGGAAAAAAAGTAAAAAAAAAAATGCAAAAAAAGAGAACATAATTGAACAAAGAAGAAAAAGGTTTTAGGGAATGCAGACATTGATGGACAGTGTAACAGTAAATTAGACATTTAGGGAAAAGGTTGGAAAGTGTTTGACATTCACGGTATGACAAAACCTGTCAGGCAAATTTGATTAAAATATTTTGAAGGCCATTTTATTATCTTTTGTCCATATTTTTTCTACTATACTCACTAGAAAAAAAAGTCACTTTCTTTGCTCTGTATGTTATTGGAATTATAAAACCCTGGGGTGACAAAACTCATTACCCCCAACCCTTTCACTTATTCAGCACAACACAAGCTTAACATTGGCAACATGTACAGAAGATTCCCTTACTAATTATAACTACGCTGTGAGCTGGAAAGAGCTGGGATGATAATCCAGTAGATTGGTTATTAACCCAGAATTCATAAACTAAATGGAACAATGACCTTCTAAAATGTTGTGGAACATTTTGTATATGTGTATTTTTCTGAAGGGAGGGTCCACACTTTCCATTACTGGCTTAAGAATCCATGACACGCAATACATTAGTCACTTCTAGAATGACCAACTGTTCTTGCTTTCCTGGGACTGAGGGGTTTCCTCAGAGGCTTTCAGTTTTAAAACTCGGAACATCCTGGGCACACCAGGACAAGTAGGTCATCCTAATCACTGCTGTAATCCTTTTATATATGTGGAAACTTAAACCCAGAGGGTTGGCACAAATGTTCAAGTATTCAAAAGTTACTGAAAAGCTGAGGCCTAATTTCAGGGTTCCTCTCTTTTCCATATAAATAGATAATTCACAGGTTATAGTCTTTGCCTCTCTATAGCTATGCCATTTCTTCCTCTAAACTATCGAATGTGAAGCAGTTACCGTGGAAAAAAATATAAGTTCTACTTTTCTTTATATAATTTCTCTCTATAAGAACATATATGTGCTCTATATGCTCTCTGTATAAATACAGAACTACAGGTATGTAAGGAGAAAACTGGTATAAATTGATAGACATAGGGAAATACAGCCTGAAAAGAAAGTTTTAGCAAGGTTCTAATCATGTTTTCTCTTTCAAATTCAGCTGCCTAAAAGCTGGTTTATTGCAATGTTAGTCACAGATGAACTAGGAAATGGATCCTCCACTTTGCTATTAAAGGATAGTTAAATGCCTACTTTGACTAGATTTCTTTGCAGAAATGTACTTTCAACTAACATGTAAGTTTTAGAGCAAGTTTGAGCACTGTGTAATTTATTGCTATTGATGGACTCATCTACGATGGCATCCTCTAAATCATGTTTAATGGGATATAGTCTACGTTTTTCAACATGTGTTTTTTTTTTATTCATAGGCTGTATCATGATAAATATTAGAGTAGTAGTTTGGTTGTTAGGCTGACATGCATATGACAGTACTGAGGTTTCAATTATCCACTTGCATCAATCAATCTTTTAGTTTTCAGCACTGTTGCCTGCAGTAATGTCACAGCTTTTCTGTCAGACAGAAGAACTTTGCGGGAAATGTTATTCATTACAGCTGCAAAGCTGTCACTGTGCCTGGCATGGCTTGTTAATGACAACATTTATTTCAAAAGAACCATGTTTCGCTTTGTTGCAGGAGAGTTGACTTTGAGATCGTAAAGTATAATGAAATGCCAAGAAGATGAAGTGAACAAAGTTTTCCAAAAATATACTAAAGTGAGCCAAATCTGTTTTAAAAAAAGAAGAATATATTTGCATTCCTATTTTTATGCCCTTACTTGCGTTTGCAAATGAGCACCCTTGGAAACTGAAGAGCTGTGTTTGGGTGGTTACAGAGAGATCCAAAGATTTTTCTTCACCTCTGTTGAAATCAGATTTCAGGTGTACAATAAATTAATTGACCAGGCTTGGATGAAACACAGAAAATGTTTAGTAACATATTTTCTTCCGAAAACCTTTGTGAAGGCTGCACAATGATTAATAGCAGTGCATAATGATTCATGAAAACAAAGATTCTTACTAATTTATGTGTGCTATTTTTTAAAAGTGTGTGAGAAAAGGGATATGAATAGCTATGTGAGGGACAGAAAAAAATAGAGGGCTATAACTCAGTTTAAACTAAGAAAGTTAATTTTTAGTTTTATCAATGGATAGACTGACAAATAAGTTGCTTAGAAGTAAAAACGGCACTGCTGGTCATGAAGCTTCTGTTCGGCAGGCAGATTGAAAAAAAAGTCATAGTTCTTTGTATCTCCTCCTATCCAGGGATGGGAGGTGAAGGCTATTTCTTCAGCCCTTGAATCTGAGCTGGCCTTGTCACTTGTTTGACCAATGGAATAGGAGAAGCAAGGTTGCACTGGTTTCAAGTCTGGGACCCAGAAGGCCTTGCACATTTCCTCTGTCTTTCATGAAGCCCAGCCACAAACCTAAGGGCTGACCTGCTGGAGATCCCATGTGTATTTGAGATAAGCTGTAGTGTCAGCTGCTGGTCTTAGACCCACAGCCCCATCATCCTGACACCTGAACATAGAGGCATGAGTGAACCAGCGAAATCAACATTCAGAGCAGAACTGCCAACCCACAAATTCATGAGTTAAACAAATGCTGATTGTTGAAAACCACTAAATTTTGGAATGGTTTGTTATTTTAGCTTCTTTATTTGGGAGATGAGTGTATTAAAACAAATGATCTTTCAGTTTGTTTCAAGATCTATCTTTCATCAGTCACGTGAATCAAGGTGAAAGACTATAAAAGAAGATCAAGTATGACATAAACATTCATTACGTTTTTGTAAAAAGTTAAAATATCAATATGCATATAAGTGCTTTTGTCTATCCCATCTATTTTTCCTGATTTTTCTATGTATACTTCTCCATCATACCTAGTTTCCGGAAACCTTTATTGGCTTCTCTATACTTACAGCATAAATTCTAAGTTCTTTAGCAGGACATGTTTGGACCCACCAGAATACTAGTTTCTTTCTGAATAGGCCAAGGTTTGCCATTTCTTATTGGCTTCGTATGCTTTTACCTTGTTTTTAGGTATGCCTTTTTCCTCTTCTTTACCTGGTGAACAGCTCCTCACTCTTTAAAGCTCACTTGAAATGTCTTGTTCTCTGTGAAGTCCCTCCTAACTGTCCCAGTCAGAGATATTGTAACATTAACATTTTTATTATAACTTCTACTGCATTGGATCATAAGTTTTTTTATTAATATGGTTGTGTTTTCTCTTAGAACATGAGATCTTGGGAACCTTGAACTATTACAGAAGACAGATAATAACCACACTATCCTAGCAAAAACATACACATCTTAATCACATGAAAAAAAGAAGGAATAATTGATTTCTAAGCTCAGTATAGACAAAATTCATTCACCACTTTTTTTTTTCCCAATGATCTCACTGGTCTGCCTTAAGTACATTAGTGAAGCTAAATACTAGGAAAAAAATAAGAATATCTTAAAGAAGCAGCTCATCCAGCATAAATAGGTGATTCCCCAGGTTTTTAAACACCAGATATTCTTCCTATTAATAGAAAAATACAAAAGACTATAGGAAATTTAAGGTAGCAGCCTCATTGGTAGTAATGACTTTGTACCCGCATATAGGCTACCTTGAAGCTGTTTAAAGTCAGAAAATTTGTCATCTTCTAAAAGCTTGAGCTACTGAAACTCTGGAAGCTTCCCTTGCAAAAAAATGGACAAGCTGCATAATTGTTGTTTGCTAATTTTCCTGGGAGAAAAACATGAACTCACTTTGTCTAGACATGCTGATTATAATCCATCAAGCAATGATTAAAGAGTAATACTCTTCTTCATTATACAGAATGTTAAAGAGACCCTTGAATAACAATCAGAATTCTTGAAACACAGAACATAACGGGTCACAGCCCATAATATAGTTTCTGTGAAACAAAGGCTTTATAAGCACATCTAGGCAGAAGAACAATGATGAGAAATTCTCCATTCTTGAGAAAAAGATAATGAAGCAACAATCATGAACAATCATGCAAGAACCTGGTTCCAATAATTTAAAATTGGATAACATACAATCCAATCTTGAGAATAATTTAAATGTAACTATTTCAAGTAAAACCTCAATATATAAAGTATAACCTTACCTGGATTAACCATGACATTAAGTCCAGCACTGATATTATGGGTTCCATACTAACATACAGATTTTTATGTAATCATTATTTCATCTTTGATTCTATTTGTATGTCTTTTACATATGTATTTCTTTGCTCTTTTCTGTGGGGTTTTACTCTCTTTAGAGGACAGAGTATTTCTTCTTGGCCTTTTGTTGTTACCACAGCTGAGTAAATGTCTGTTCAATTCTAGTCAATAATTTATTGGTTGATAAAGGAATGAATGTTGGAGAAAATAAATGATCAGTTTCTATTAGTCCTCACTCACATAATTTATCATTTCATGAAGTTCATCTGCCCCCTAAAACTTGCTCAAATAATTTCTCTCCTATAACAGTCTTCTCACATGTCTTGCCATATTGATCAAACTCAGTCTCCTCAACTCATAACATTAACCCTCTATGAGTCTTCTTTGGCCATTAATTTTGTGCCAAAGATGATGTATTCCCATATTGATTGTATTTTCTTTCACCATTAACTTTCTGAGTATTTATCTCTTCTTTGTTTTCATAGTTTGGGAACTTTTGGAGTGTAGGGAATGTTTTATTTATTTATTATTTATAGTGCCTTCCTCAAGTTCTCTTATATGCTGTAAGTTGTGCTAAAAAATTTATTGATTCTTAAAATAATTACTAATAACTGATGTATCAATTTTTCACTAACATTTTATAAACTTGGCTATGTATACCTCTGCCAGCCCCTTCAGAATTGTCACACTCTCCTCATCTTTGTGAGAGTAGGTTTAAAATGATTATTACAGGATGAAAAATGCTCTCTCCCCACTAGATTAGCTGGTATATGTTTAGGAGATCTAAAAAAAGTCAAAGTAATGAACATATAGGTTAAATTATGAATAGAAAGCAGGATTTTCAAAATATTTAACATATTTTAGTGAATGATACATCAGACTAATACTCTCAGTGATATCAGGAGTAACACTTAGGTTAAATAATCTGTTCATTATCTCTGGATACATCCAAGAGTCTGTTGGCCAATTCCATTGCCTCATTTTTGAGCTTCTCTCATTGTAAGACAAGGGATGCAGTCAGGGTCTGACTAAATGACAGTTATCAACTGTCACCAGACCATTTGAAAGTGAAATACACTCTCTGCGAACTGTCAGTGCCAGACGCAATGGAAAATCACTTTACAGATTGCTCACAAATTGCATTAATATAGCTACTGAAGAGCTTCAATAAGTTACACTAATTGGGTGGGGGCCAGTCTAAAAAGTCAGACACCTAAGGCCCTTAGGAATTCTTTATAAGAAATACAATTTCTTAACTTTTAGGTTTCTAGAGTTGCACAAACTTGATTAAAGAAAGGTTTCAGCAGGCATCAGCTGTGATGAGAAAATGAATGATTTATTAGCATATTCATCGTGTGTTTATAAACAAATGGAGAAATGAAGCTGGAGGAATGACCAATATGATAGAATCAGAAATTTAAATGACCTTCAACAGGCTGAAATAGTGAGTTAGTATAGTAAAATAAAATTATTTCAGGTAAATCTGTAGTTTTCTATATAAGCTTCTTGAAAAAGGCCCCAGATAATTGACATTTAGAGGTTGGGTAAGTCACAGCTGAACAGTAACATTATTAAAAAATAAATAGAAACACAGACAGACCAAAGACAAAAAAAAAAGATAACACACACACACACCTTAAGGGTTTTTAATAAACCAGAAGCTTAATATGAATGAATAATATCCTTCAAAATAAGATAATAAGTTGTGTTAAGGTAATACTATCTTCTTTAATGCAGAAGTAATAGACTTCTCAGCACTGTTAAGACCTTGAAACTACAGTATTGTCTCAAGTTTTGAATAGCACAGAGTAGAAAAGATACATTGGCAGATGAGTTCAGGCCCAGAGGAAAATGACTGGACAGTGAGAAAGCCAGAAATCATGGCTTACGATGCGGAAAATGGGGACATTTTAGTGTAGGTCAGAATAAATTTAGGACTGACTTTAATATCTTGAACTCTCACATTAAAGAGTTGATCAGATATCTTATCTTTGTCTCCATAGAACCGTACAAATGAGTAAACGAAATGAGAGCCAGATACCAGTGCAATGTAAATAACTTTCTAACACTTTGTGCCATTTGAAATTGCAATAGAATGCCTTGGGGTGTGGGTGGTGGGTAGCGAATTGTCAGTGATTGGAGTAATTATATAGCATCAATTCTCAAAATAATATAGAAGACTTCTAGCTATGAACTTAGATCTTTTCCAACCATAAGTTGCAGTTATTATCACATTCCCTTAATTTTTATTTATTAATAAAACTATATTTATCTATCAGACACGTCTCCATCATTGTATGTTTACACTGATCTTAAAAAAAAGAAATTCCATCTTTCCCTTCTTACCCTGTCCTGATTTGCCTGTTTGCAGGCTCTCTGCATCTTCACTCCCTCCTGGCCTGAGGGTGAGCCCCGTAAGCCGTTTAGAACAGGCCTTACTAATAGCACCTCTTTCTGAGTATGATGCAGGTTAATTTAACAAAGCATAGAAAGCCCATTTCAGACTTCACTAGCAAGCTGTTTTTCAATCCAGCTTTACTCATAATCTCCTTATTTTATTATTCAGCTACTATTGAGTAGGAGAATGGCAGAATGATTGAGTGCGGACTTTGGATCTAGAATGGCTGGATTTAAACTCCTGTGACCTTGGGCAACTGACTTAACATCTGTGTACTTCTGGTTTTATTTTTGTTCTTTTCACCTGTAAACTGGGCATAATAGAAGTACTTCTCTCATAAGTTGTGATTATAAAATGAGTTAATTTATGTAAATTATATTGAATCATCTTGTCACATGCTAAGTGTTAACTATTATTAGTATTATTTTGAACTCAAAAATTCAGATTTCAGTAGGAGAAACAGTTACAGATAGAAATAAAAGAGCTGTAGCTCTGTTTTGGATATGGTGTGGGAGGCCAGAGTTAGTTCACAGAGAAGGTAATACATCGTTTTAAATTCCGAGTAGGAGTTTTTCAGACAAAGTGGGGTTAGGGAATGTGCATTCCTCCTACATAGGGTGGAAAGTATGGGCAAAGGCATGGAATGCAAAAGAATAGGACAAGCTCAAGGTAAGAGCACAGGGCAGGAATTGACAGGGACAGGAGATGACACTGCAGGCCCAGCAGTGCCAGGCCCTGGAGGGCTTGCTGTACTTGCTTTTAGGGAAATTGGTCCCTGACTGCCCCAGCGGTGCAGAGCAAAGTAAGATAGAACAGAAGTTGGCAAGCTTTTTCTGTAAAAAACCAAAAAAAACAAAAAAGCAAAAAGAAAAAAAAACCCAAAACAAACAAACAAAAAAACAGATAGTATTACTTTAGGCTGTTCAGACCCCTTAGGGCTTTTCTGTGAATTTTTAAAAAATCCATTAAAATGTAAAAATTATTCTTAGTTCAAAGGCTACACATAAAAAGGTAGTGGGGTGCTGGAGGATTGCTTGAGTCCATAAGTCTGAGTCCAGCCTGGGCAACATATGGTTGAGACCCTGTATCTTTTTTTTTTTCTTTTTTTTTTTTTTTGGCAGTGGGCCAGATTTACTGACCCCTGATCTAGACCTTAGATTCTACACAACATCTCCACCCTTAAAAAACTTGGCTGGAGCAAAATGTGCATGTCAGGAAATGCCTTGAACTGGACCACAGGTCAGGCAATATTGACACTAGCAATCAAGTCTCTGAAGGATTTTATGCAGGGAGAACAATGCTGTAGTTCTATTTGAGAAAGAACACTCTGATTGCAGCATCAAAGATGGAATAGATGACAAATGACTAAGGTGGCCTATTAAAGGCTGGATGATGCCACCAAGCAGTTCAAGATCAGTACCCTCAGCATTTTGATGAATGAAGACTGGGAGGTGTGAGGAGCTATGCAGATAAATCCTCTTTCTTCTGTGTATTACTCTGAGGAAAATTTTTAATTTGTCTGTAGAGAAAACTGATGTCTGTCTTCCCTGTTAATAAGGCCTTCCATTTTTTAATTTAGCAGTACTTTAATCCTTGCTCAGCTCTAAAAAGCCCATGGTATGGCACTAGTGGGTGAAGAATCTGTAAAGAAATGTGAGAAAACAGGTCAGCAGGGATGGAGAAGTAAGAGAACATGTATGGGAGTCATAAGAGAGAATTTCAGTGGGGAGTGATCAGTGGTGACAAGAACCACAAAGCTCTTGTCAGGCAGTCAGGCCTTGGGAGGCCAGTGATAATCTTGCTGGAGCAGTTTCCTTGGTGAGATGGGGATAATCACATTGCAAGAGGGAATGGGAAGTGAGGAAATAGACATGGACTGTATGTGGATTTGTATTTATAAAACCTGACATTGAAGGAAAGGAAAGACAATGTGCCATAAGCTCAAGGAAATGGAGCTTAGAGTTAGGTTTTTCTTTGGAGTTTTTAATGTAGAAGTGTTTATATATAAGGAGCAAAACTACGGAAATCATACAACCATTTTTTTTAACCTATCAGTGATCATTGTATCTCAAAATATAACATTTTGTTCTCACTCTACCCCTGAGTTTTGGCATTTCTTGTCACCTTTAACTTGATTTATTTTTCACTTTTTAATATTCAGTCTACATATTTGCAAGTATATTATTTATTTCATGTCCCTTACCTCTCAAATGTAAGGTACCTTGGGGCAAGGATTCTTACTTGTTTGTCGATTTTGTTTATTCTCAACACCTGGAAGAGCACCTGGCTCACAAGAGTACACAGTATTATTTTTGTGGAGTGAGTAAATCTGACACATGTAAGATGCACTATTCTGGCACTTATACTGACTTTTGAAAATGTTTAACATGTTAAAAAGATATAAGGTAAACCAATTCTATTTTTTAGATAGAAATAACTAGTACGAAAGTCTAAGATTTTAAATAGATACAAGATTTTTTCAGGTAACCCTGACCCTCAGAATTCTAAAAAAATGAAGGCCAGGCTGTAGTGACATCAGCAAAATGGCAGAATAGGACTTTCCATTGCTGGTCCCCTCACAGAACCATCAATTTTAACAACTATCCATGCACAAAAATACCTTCACAAGAGCTGAGGCATCCAGGTGAGAGATTGTAGCACTTAGGTGTATTATAGAAATTTTTTAAAAGATATATTGAAGGATGGAAAGGATAGTTTCACATTGTGGAAAGGGCAGTTTCACATTCCTCCTCCCCTAAACCTAGTTAGCACAGTACAGAGAGATAGACACTCTGAGTTTGGGAAGGAGAGAGAAGCGAGCATCTGACTTTGCTGTGGACCCCAGAACCAGGCCTACCCTTTGAAACCTGGTTCCAGACTGGCCCCCACAACCCCAGGCTCCAGACTGGCACCTTCAGATGCAGGCCTGTTCTGATGCCACATCTCATGGTGGGCCCTGTGTACTTCAAGCCTGCCCCAGGCTTGAGGCAGGCCTTGCAGTCTGAGTCCCCAGTTAGGCACCCTTGGTTCCAGGCTCCAGATCAGCTTCAGCACCAGGTAAGCCCCTACAGTGCCAAGATCTAATCTGACCCCCACAAAGACCTAGGCTCTAGCCGAGATTGTCCGACCAGCCTTATTTTGTTGTTGTTCTGTTTTGTTTTGTTTTAAACTTTTAGCAGCACGAAGCCATAGTTTTTAGTTTGTCTCTAGTGATAAACAGAAAAGAGACATGAGGAAAGGGCTTTGCTGGCCCAACCAGTAACAGAAACTAAGAACCCATGACTGTATTCTCTCCCCTGGACGCCCCTGCTAGGCCTTCCCCTGCAGATGCAGTAGAAAGCTACATCCCCCAAAACCCCTGGAGTTTGAGGTTTCGACTGAGGATCCAAGAGTTTGGGATTCTGGAGTTTGGACCCAGGACTCAGGCTCACCCAAGGCTCCAGACTGAACCCAGAATCCAGGACAGCCTCTGTGACAACATACTCTGAGTCTACCCTAACACCAGTCCAGAGCCCAGCCCCAGCTGCCAAAGTCTTCAGGCCCACCTCAGGCTCCAGACCAGCTCAACACCATGTGATTTCCTCTAGCCCCAAACTCCAGCTGTAATCTGGCCCCTGTGGATGCACACTCTAGGCCCACCTAGTGCTAGGTTGGCGCCTGTAGCCCCAGGCTCCAGGCAAGTTCCTGTGGTTCCATGCTCCAGCAGATCCAGGTTTCAGGCCTGTACCAATAGACCCTGGCATTGAGCCAGCCCCTAAAAACCCAGACTCCAGTATCACCCCCATGGTCCTGAGCTCCAGGTTAACACTTACAGAGCCAGCCTCTAGTCTGGCCTTCATGAATTCAGGATCAAGGCCTACTCCAGTGCTAGTTTGGCCCCTATGGATCTGGGCTCTAAGACCATCCCTGCAGACCCAGTGGACAGATCCACACCAGCAGACTCCGGATCCAGGGAGGCTCCTGTCTCCACAGGAGCCATCCTGGCAGACTCAAACTCTAAAACTCCAGGAGTGTCTGGTGGAAATAGGCTATAGGCCCAACCCTGAAGACCCAGGCATCAGGCAAGACCCAGTGGACTCAGACACTAGGCCTGCCCATTTGCTGATTCAGACACCAGGTCAACCTACCCAAGGACTCCAGTATCAAGCCTGTCTGCAGGTTCTGCCACAATGTCCGCCCAGAATCTCTGGATAAGCTGACTTTTCTTGCTGAAGCAAGTCTGTTAAGACTTGAATAGGTGCCTATATCAAATGTGCAGACATCAACACATGACTATACGGATCACTAAAAATCAGGGAAACATGACACCACCAAAGGAACACAATAAAGCATGGATAACTATATTTGGCCATTCTGACAATGCTTTAGAGAAATACGAGAGACTGGGTAATTTATAAAGAAAAGAGCCTTAATTGACTCATGGTTCTATAGGCTGCATAAGAAGCATAGTGGCTTCTGCTTTTGGGGAGGCCTCAGGAAGCTTCCAATCACGGTAGAAGGCAAAGGGAGAATGAGACATCTCACATGGCAGAAACAGGATCAGGAGAGAGTGAGAGAGAGGGTGGAGGTGTCACACACTTTTAAGTGACCAGATCTCATGAGAACTTACTAACAATGGTGAGGACAGTACCAAGAGGGATGGTGCTAAATGATTCATGAGAAACTGCCCCCATGATCCAATCACCTCCCACCAGGCCTAACTTCCAACATTGAGAATTACAACTGGACATGAGATTAGGGCAGGGACACAGGTCTAAACCATATCAGTGACCAATTCTAAAAAAATGAAGATCTATGAGCTGCCTGATAAAATTCAAAACAATCATCTTTAAAAAGCTAAAGCAAGGCTGGGCGCAGTGGCTCATGCTTGTAATCCCAGAACTTTAAGAGGCCAAGGCAGGTGGATCGCCTGAGGTCAGGAGTTCAAGACCAGCCTGGCCAACATGGCAAAATTCCATCTCTACTAAAAATACGAAAATCAGCCAGGTGTAGTGGTGGGCGCCTGTAATCCCAGCTTCTTGGGAGGCTGAGGCAAGAGAATCACTTGAATCCAGGAGGTGGAGGTTGCAGTGAGCTGAGATTGTGCCACTGCACTGTACTCCAGCCTGGGTGACAGAGGGAGACTGTCTGAAAAATAAAATAAAAAATTAATAAAAAATAAAATAAAGAGCTAAAGCAGCTGCAGGAGAACACAGATAGATACTACATGATATCAGGAAAACAATGCACAAACAAGATGCAAAGTTGAACAAAGAAATAGCAACCATAAAGAAGCAAAAAGAAATTCTGGAGCTAAAAATCTCAATGGCTAAACTGAAACATTCCATAGAGAGCTTCAACAACAGGCTTAATCAAGCAAAAGTAAAAAGAATCAATGAACTTGAAGAGAGGTTACTTGAATTTTTTCAATTAGAGAAGCATAAAAAAGTAAATAAAAAAGGGTGAAGAAAGCTTATTGGACTTACGGGGCACCATCAAGCAACCAACAGACACATTATGGGAGCCACTGAGGGAGCAAAGAGAAGAATAAAAAGAAGGAAATATTTTTGTCATTAAATAAACAATGACAGAAAAATTTTCACATCTGAAGAGGGAAATGAATACCAATATTCCTGAATCCCAAGGACCCCAAAAAGATTAAATATAAACAGTTCTTTTCTGAGATACATTATAATGGAATTCTTTAAAATCAAAGACAAAAGGAGAATTTTGAAAGCAGCAAGAGAACAGCAATTCACCATATACAAGGGAATTATCATAAGACTGTATAAATAGATTTGCCAGCAGAAATTTTTTTACAGGCCAGGAGAGTGTAGTATGATGACTTTAAATTACTAAAGAAAAAAATTTGCCAACTCATAAGTGGGAGCTAAATAACATGTATATGTGGATATAGAGGGTGGAATGATAGACAATGGAGACTTGGAAGGGTGACAAAGTAGGATGAAGACTCAAGAGGTTACTTAATGGGTACCATGTACATTAACAAAATTGCACTGATATCTCATAAATTTATATATATTTAAAAGGAAAAAAAGCCATGCCAATCAAGAATACTATGCCCAACAAGACTGTCTTTCAGAAATGAAGGAATGGTAAAAACTTTCCCAGATTAAAAGAACCTGTGAAAATTCATCACCACTATACCTGCATTACAAGAAATGCTAAAGGGAGTTCTTCAAGTTTAAATGAAAAGATGCTAACTAACAACATGAGAATAAATGAAAGTAAAAAACTCATTGTAAAAATAAATAAATAGTCAAATTCAGAACACTATACAACTGTGATGGTGGTCCATAAACCATTTTTAACTCTAGTAAGAATGTTAAGATATTAAATATAATTTTAACTATAGTAGTTTGTTAATGGATATGCTTAATATATAAAGACATAAATTGTGACAGCTATAAGAAAAAAATAGGGAGAAGGAGAATTTAAAGTGTACAGTTTTTTTATGTGGTTGAAGTTAAAATGTTACCAGCTTAAAATATACTGTCATAAACTATAAGATCTTTCATGTAAGCCTTATAGTAACCACAAAGAAAAAATATGTGGCAGATATATAAAAGATTAAGAGAAAGAAATCAAAACACACAATTACAAAAAATTCCCTGTAGAGACTAACAAAAGAATTTAGTAAAATTGTAGGATACAAAATCGATATACCAAGTCAGTAGTGTTTGAATACGTTAACAATAACCTATTTGAAAAAGAAATAAAGAGAATCATCCAATTTATAATACTATAAAAACACTTAAGGATAAATTTAAGGACATGAAAGATTTGTTCACTGAACTATAAGGTACTGATAAAAAAATTAAAGACGACTCAACAAATGTAAGATATCCCATGTTCATTGGCTGGAAAAATTAATATTGTTAAAATGTCCATACCACCCAAAGTGATCTGCAGATTCAATGCAATTCCTATCAAAATTGCAAGAACATTTTACATAGAAATAGGAAAAAAAATCTAAAATTAGTATGAGACTACAAAAGACCCCAAATAGCTAAAGCAATCTTAAGCAAAAAGAACAAAGGTGGAGACATCACACTATATGATTCAAATATACTACAGAAATATAATAGTCAAAATAACATGGAACTGGTATAAAAACAGACACATAGATCATTAGAACAAAATAGAGACCCTAGAAATAAATTCATGCATTTTTGTCCTATTGATCTTCAACAAAGGAGCTAAGAATGCACAATGAGTAAATAAATCTTTTAAATAAATGGTGTTAGAAAAGTAGATATTCACAGGCAGAAGAATGAAATGAGAAGCTTATCTCCCACCATATATAAGAATAAACTCAAAATGGATTGAAGATTTAAATTTAAGCCTTACACAGTACATATACTAGAAGAAAACATAGAAGAACATGTTGTTCATACTGGTCTGGACAATGATTATTTTTGGAGATGACCTCAAAGCACAGCAACAAAAGTAAAAATAGAGAAATGGGATTACATCAAACTAAAATGCTTCTACATAGCAAAGGTAACAATCAACAAAGTAATGACAAAACCTTCAAAAGGGGAACATACATTTGTAAACCATATATTTGATAAGTGGTTAATATTCACACTGTAATATAAGAACAAAAACAACCCAGTAGCAAGAAAACAACTTGATTTAAAAATGGATAAAGGACTTGAATCAACATTTTTTAAAAGAAGACATACAAATGGCCAACAGGCATATTCAAAAAATGCTCAACATCAGTAATCATCAGTGAAATGCAAATTAAAACCACAGTGAAATATCACCTCACACCTTTCAGAATGGCTGTCAAAATGACAAAAGATAATAAAGGTTGATAAGGATGTAGAGAAAAGCGAATTCTTGTACACTTGATGGGAATGTAAATTAGTCTAACCATTATGAAAAACATATGGAGTTTGGTTAGAAAATTTAAAATAGAATTGCCATATGATTCAGGAATTCCACTTCTGTGTATATTTATGAAGAAAATGAAACCACCATGTCCAAAAGATATTTGTAATCCTATGTTCATTGCAGCATTATTCACAATTGCCAAGATATGGAATCAACCTGTTTTCATCAACAGATAAAATGGATAAAGAAAATGTGATATATATATATATATATATATACACACACACAATGAAATACTATTTAGCCTTATAAAACAAGGAAATCCTGTCACTTGCTAAAAATGGATGAAGCTGGAGGACATTATGCTAAGTGAAATAAGTTTGGTACAGAGAGACAAATACTGCTATGATCTCACTTACATGTGGAATGTAAAAAAGTTGAACTCATAGAATAATAGAACAGAATGGTGGTATCCAGGAGCTGGAAGGGGATGGGTGATGGTAATGAAACAGGGAGAAGTTGATCAAAGTGTACAAAGTTTCAGTTAGACAGGATGTGTAAGTTTGGGAGATCTGTTGTACAGCATATGACTACAGTTAATAATAACACATGCACACCTCAGAGGTATTGTGGGTTTGGTTCTAGACCACTGCAATAAAGCAAATAGCACAAGTGAGTCCCACAAAGTCTGGTTTCCCAGTACATATAAAAGTTATATTTATACTATAGTCTATTACATGTGCAATAGCATTATGTTTAAAATACAATGTACATATTTAATTAAAACAAACTTTATTGCTAAAAAATGCTAACTATCATTTGATCCTCAGCAAATCATATTTTTTTTTGCTGGTGGAGGGTCTTGCCTCAATGTTGATGGCTGTCAACTGATCAGGGTGGTGGCTGTGGAAGGTTGGGGTAGTTGTGGCAATTTCTTAAGACAACAATGAAGTTCCCCACATCAATTGACTCTTCCCTTTCACAAAAGATTTCTCCATGATGTGTGATGAAGTTGGATACCATTTTCTCTACAGTGGAACTTCTTTTAAAACTGGAGTCAACCCTCTCAAACCCTGACAATACTTTATCAACTAAATTTATGTAATGTCCTAATTGCTTTGTTGTCATTTCAACAATGTTCACAGTATCTTCACCAAGAGCAGATTCCATTCCAAGAAACCACTTCTTTGCTCATCCATAATAGGAAGCTCCATCATCTGTTTAAGTTTGATGATGAGATTGCAGCAATTCAGGCATATCTTCAGGCTCCACTTCTAATTCTGTTTATCTTGCTATTTCCAACACATCTGCAGTGACTTCCTCCACTGAAGCCTTGAACCCCTCAAAGCCATCTGTGAGGATTAAAGTCAACCTCTAAACTGACTTTAATGTCAATATTTTGATATATCCCCATGAATCACAACTGTTCTTAATGGTTTCTAGAATGGCAGCTGCTTTTCAAAAAGTTTTCAATTTACTTTGCCCAGATCACTCTCTATGGTAGCTATAGCCCTATGAAATATATGTCTTAAATAATAAGGCTTGAAAGTTGAAATTATGCCTTTATTCATAGGCTGCAGAATGAATGCTGTGTTAGCAGGCAAGAAAACAATAGTAATCTTCTTGGGTATCTCTATTGGAGCCCTTGAGTGACTACATGCATTGTCAATGAAATGAACAGTAATATTTTGAAAGAAATTTTTTTTCTAAGAAGTAAGTTTCAACAGCAGGCCTAAAATATTCAATAAACCATTTGTAAACAGATGTGCTGTCATCCAGGCCTTGTTATTCCATTTAATAGAGCACAGGCAGAATAGATTTAGCATGTTTCTTTTTTTAATCTTTATTTTTTATTATGCTTTAAGTGCTGGGATACACGTGCAGAACATTCAGGTTTGTTACATAGGTATACACATGCCATGGTGGTTTGCTGCACTCATCAACCTGACATCTACATTAGATATTTCTCCTAATGCTATCCCTACCCTAGCCCCCGACCCCCGACAGGCCCCACTGTGTTATGTTCCCCTCCCTCTGTCCATGTATTCTCATTGTTCAACTCCAACTTATTAGTTGAACATGAGGTGTTTGGTTTTCTGTTCCTGTGTTAGTTTGCGGAGAATTATGGCTTCCAGCTTCATCCATGTCCCTGCAAAGGACATGAACTCATACTTTCTTGTGGTTGCATAGTATTTCATGGCATATATGTGACACATTTTCTTAATCCAGTCTATCATTGATGGGCATTTGGGTTGGTTCCAAGTGTTTGCTATTGTTGAACAGTGCTGCAATAAACATATGTGTGCATTGTCTTTATAGTAGAATGATTTATAATCCTTTGGGTATATACCCAGTAATGGGTTTGCTAGGTCAAATGGTATTTCTGGTTCTACATCTTTGAGGAATTGCCACACTGTCTTCTACATGGTTGAACTAATTTACACTCACACCAACAGTGTACAAGGGTTCCTATTTCTCCACATCCTCTTCAGCATCTGTTGTTTCCTAACTTTTTAATGATCGCCATTCTGACTGGCATGAGATAGTATCACATTGTGGTTTTGATTTGCGTTTCTCTAATGACCAGTGCTTATGAGCTTTTTTTCATGCATTTGTTGGCTGCATAAATGTCTTCTTTTGAGAATTGTCTGTTCGTATTCTTCCCCCCCCCATTTTTGATGGGTTTTTTTTTCTTGTAAATTTGTTTAAGTTCCTTGTAGATTCTGGATATTAGCTCTTGGTCAGATGGATAGATTGCAACATTTTTCTCCAATTCTGTAGGTTGCCTGTTCACTCTGATGATAGTTTCTTTTGCTGTGCGGAAGGTCTTTAGCTTAATTAGATCCCATTTGTCAATTTTGGCTTTTGTTGCCATTGCTTTTGGTGTTTTAATCATGAAGTCTCTGCCCATGCCTGTGTCCTGAATGGTATTGCCGAGGTTTTCTTCTAGGGTTTTTATGATTTTAGGTCTTATGTTTAAGTCTTTAATCCATCTTGAGTTAATTTCTGTATAAGATGTAAGAAAGGGGTCCAGTTTCAGTTTTCTGCATATGGCTAGCCAGTTTTCCCAACACCATTTATTAAATAGGGAATCGTTTCCTCATTGCTTGTTTTTGTCAGGTTTGTCAAAGATCTGATGGTTGTAGATGAGTGATGTTATTTCTGAGGACTCTGTTCTGTTCCATTGGTGTATATATCTGTTTTGGTACCGGTACCATGTTGTTTTGAGTACTGTAGCCTCATAGTGTACTTTGAAGTCAGGTAGCTTGATGCCTCTAGCTTTGTTCTTTTTGCTTAGGATTGTCTTGGCTATACGGGCTCTTTTTTGGTTCCATATGAAATTTAAAGTAGTTTTTTTCTAATTCTGTGAAGAAAGTCAATGGTAGCTTGATTGGGATAGCATTGAATTTATAAATTACTTTGGGCAGTATGGCCATTTTCACGATATTGATTCTTCCTATCCATGTGTGTGGAATGATTTTCCATTTGTTTGTGTCTTCTCTGATTTCCTTGAGCAGTAGTTTGTAGCTCTCCTTGAAGAGGTCCTTCACATCCCTTGTAAGTTTTATTCCTTGGTAGCAATTGTGAATGGGAGTTCACTCATTATTTGGCTCTCTGTCTATTATTGGTGCATAGGAATGGTTGTGATTTTTGCACATTGATTCTGTATCCTGAGAGTTTGCTGAATTTGCTTATCAGCTTAAGGAGATTTTGGGCTGAGACGATGGGATTTTCTAAATATAGGGCCCTAGGATTTTTGGAATGGTAAGTAAGCATTGGTTTCAACTTAAAATCACCAGCTGCATTAGTTCCTAATAATAAAGTCAGCTTGTCTATTGAAGCTTTGAATTCAAGCACTTCTCTCTAGCTATGAAAGTCCTAGATGGCATCTTTTTTCAATAGATGGCTGTTTCATCTACATTGAAAATCTGTTTAGGCTAGCCACCTTCTTTAATGATCTTAGCTAGATCATCTGGATAATTTCTATAGCGTCTACATCAGCATTTACTGCTTTATCTTGCACTATTATGTTATGGAGATAGCTTTCTTCCTTAAACCCCATGAATCAACTTTTGCTCACTTCCAACTTTTCTTCTGCAGCTTCCTCACCTCTTTGAAGAGAGTTAGGGCCTTACTGTGGATTAGGCTTTGGCTTCAGGGAATAGCATGGCTGGTTTGAGCTTCTATTCCAACCATTCAAACTGTCTCCATATCAGCAATAAGATGTTTTGCTTTCTTATCATTTGTGTGTTCACTGGAGTAGCACTGTCAAATTTCTTTCAAGAACCTTTTCCTTGCATTTGCAGCTTGGTTAACTCTTTGGCTCAAGAGGCTTAGTTTTTGGCCTATCTCAGTTTTCAACATGCCTTTCTAACTAAGCTTAATAATTTTTAGCTTTTGATTTAAAATGAGAGATATGTGACCCTTCCTTTCACTGGAACACTTAGAAGCCACTATAGGGCTATTAATGTGCATAATATCAGTTTTTGTTGTGTCTCAGGGAACAGGAAGACCCACAGAAAGGAAGAGAGAAGGGGAAGTGGCAGGTTGGTAGAGTATTCAGAACCCACATAACATGTATTGATTAAGTTCTCTGTTTTATATGGGCATGGTTTGTGGTGCCACTTATAACAGATATAATAACAATGAAAATATTTGAAATATGTGAGAATTACCAAAATGTGACATAGAGAACTGAAGTGAGCACATGCTGTTGAAAAAATGGTGCTGATAGATTTGCTTAATGCAAGGTTGCCACAAACCTTCAATTTGTAAAATGTGCAATATCTGCAAAGTCCAATAAAGTGCAATAAAATAAGGTGTGCCTTTATATTGTATACTTGAAAACTGCTAAAAGAGTAGATCTTACATGTCTCACAACAAAAACTGGTAAGTATATTAGGTGATGGATATATCAATTAGCTTATTTTAATCATTTCACTATGAATATGTGTGTATGACATTATTTCATTGTATACTATAAATACATACAATTTTTATTTGTCAGTTATAGCTTAATAAAGCTGGGGAAAAACTGGAGTTCAGTTTGCTAAGAATATTCTTATAACCACATTTCAGTGACAATAAATGTCACCCATTTGTAGTCTATTAGAACCTAATTTTCTTGCCCAAATATGCATACTATTCTGATATCTTTCCATAAAATCTTTAAAATTCGAAAGCCTACATGCCTAACTTCTATCTAAAAAAATAAGGAATTTCTGGAAGTGCTCTATACTTGGGACAAAGGGTTAAGAAGCATTTATGCATACATATTGTGTTTTCAGAATTATTTTGCAGGCTTTGCATTAAAAACTCTATTAAACATTGGTAAGCTCCACGCTTCAGGTGCCAGGTGGCAGTTATGGTTGCTGTAAAATAAAGGATTAATGTTAAGAAATTGAAGGTGGGGGGAAAGTGGATACATAAAATAAAGAACAGGTGCACAATCCCTAGCTCCACAACTTCAAATTAAATGAGCAGGCAGACATTAGTCAATGGGGAGAGAAAAATAAATGAGGTACAGTCTTCCTCAGAAAGCGAGTGAGGCAAAATGGACTCTATTCCCTCTATTTTGGTGCTGTTGGAGTCCTGTTGATCTGCTCATGATAATTTTATCAGCTTTCAACATAGATTGATTTATTTAATCAGGGTCTGTGTTTCTCACATGCCTGAGGATACCGTCAAGTGCACAAAATAGGCAAGAAGCATGAATGATGCTGATCAGAGGAAAAAATATGTATTATAATAGGGAGTTATTGATATTTATATTAATTAATATTTTGGCAAATGCACTCTCTAGGTGGTTCTGTAGGTGGTGATACATACTAGGAAATATACTGTTTTAAATTTTATATTTTGTTGTGAGAACCAGGAGGGGTTGAATCAGTAGAATCAAAGAAAACATAAATTAGTCATTAAGAAGAGTTTATTTTTCGTTGTCAAACTGGAAACATAGATATGGTAAAGGAGGAAAGAATGGGCAGACTTGAAATTCTTGAGACTATAAGAGGGAGAGGAATTAGAGGACAGTCTCTGCAGAGGACAATGACTGAGGTCCTGTGGGGAAGAATTTAGTTCAAAGGTGTCAGGCTGGTGACATTCAGAGCATTGATATGCTTGCTGTTTCCACCTGGCATTTTCACTGGGCATAAAGCAAACATTTCCTTACCTGTCCTTCCTATTGACCCATCTGGAGGAAATCCAGGAGTGGGAGATGGTAGAGTTCACATTATATTGCACTTTATCACATAAATCTTTTTATATTATCATTTTATGTCATAAACATTTTTGTTTTTAATGGTTGCTAAGAATTTCATTATAAGATGATGCCTTGTTTATTAAGTCAAGCCATTCTTGATAGTCTAAAAGGCCTGCAGTGGGCAGAATAATGGCTTTCCAAAGATATCTATCCTAATCCCAAGGAACCTGTGAATATGTTAGGCTACATTGCAAAGGGGAACTAAGATTGCAGATGGAATTAAAGTTGTTAATCATTTGATATTAGAGAGATTACCATGTATTATCTGGGAGGGCCTAATGTAAACACAAGGGTTATTAAACATGAAAGAGAGAATCTGAGAAGTACTGGGGACCTTGATGGCTTCAAAGATGGAGGAAGGGGGCTACCAGCCAAGGGAAGCAGGCAGCCTCTACAAAATAGAAACATCCAAGATATTGTTCTTTCCTAGAACTTCCAGAACAAAAGCCCATAACTTCATCTTAGACCATTGAGATCTGTGTTTGATGATGAACTGTGAAGTTTTAAATCTGTTATTTAAGCACTAAATTTTGCCTAATTTGTCACAGAAACAATAGAGAACTCACACAAAGTATCTTTTTAGCTAATATAGAGGCTTCCCAGATTTCAATCTAGACCTAATCTAATTTCCCCAGGACAGTATTATTGTAAAGTATAAATCATTTCACTTCATAGCTCTTCTTAAAACACTTAAGTGGCTTCAAATTGTATTTCAGGATAAAATTTAAACCCCTTATAAGGCATATAAGGCCCTGCAAGATCTAGTCTCTGCTAATCTACTCTCTAAGGCCCCTCTCTTATTCCATACTATTCTTCTTTAAGTTCCTTAAACGAGTTGAGTCCTTCATATCCATAGGTAGCAGGCTTAGTGGCTAAGCACACAGACTGTAGAACCAAAGTGCCTGAGTTTGAATCTTTGCTCTCCTACTTACTAGCTGTGTGACCTTAGACAAGTCATTTCACTTCAATATCTCTTTCCTTATCTATAAAATGCTATTAAATATATATCTATATTTAAAGAATGTAGAATAGCTTCTGGCGCACAAGCACTATGTAAGTATTGATATTGGCCAGGCACGGTGGCTCATGCCTGTAATCCCAGCACTTTGGGAGGCCTAAGCGGGTGGATCACCTGAGGTCAGGAGTTTGAGACAAGCCTGGCCAACATGGTGAAACCGTGTCTCTACTAAAAATAGAAAAATTAGCCGGGTGTGGTGGTGAGCACCTGTAATCCCAGCTATTCAGGAGGCTGAGGCAGGAGAATCACTTGAACCCAGGACACGGTGGTTGCAGTGAGCCGAGATCGCGCCATTGCACTCTAGCCTGGGTGGCAAGAGTGAAACTCCATCTAAAAAAAAAAAATATTGATATTATAACATAAAAAGGTGTATTCTTGGAGGACTCTCCTCTCTGCCCTTTGCATAGCTTGCTCTTCCTCATCCATCAAGTCTCATCTTGAAAGTCTTGCCAGGTAGCTGTGTGTGGTATATCCCTTTGGCTCTGCTATTCATTATCAAGTGCACTGTTACTTTCTTTCAAGGCACTTGTCACCATTTGAATTGTTTCTGCATTTAAAAAAATCTGTGTTAACGATTCATTTACTTATTTATACCATTATTATTTGCCTGTATTTGTGTTATGTATCAGTTGTGCCTCCTCCTTTATATCATACTTCCTGTAAGGGTAAGGATTCTATCTGCTTTTTTAACTTTCATGTCCGTAGTACTAAGCATGTAGCTATTTTACAGTGGGTGTTGTTAGTTGTCCTGCCCTTCTTGGACATAGGATGCTTATCTTTACCAGCCCTCTTGAAGTTAGAAAAGGCATGGTCTAGCTGATAGCAGAAATGACACTTATTTTCCAGGGTGAGGCTCTTCAGGGCTCTCTTCCCATGAAGAGAAAATGGAAAATCTTAAAGTAGTGTGTTGGCATGGAGGTGCCACAAGACAGATGTACCCTAAAATGGTGAGTCACTGCAAAGAGGACAGCTGCCTCACAGTTCTGGAGACTAGAAGTCTGAGATGAAGGTGTGGGTAAGCTTGGTTCCTTCTGATGGTGGTAAGGGAAGAATCTGTTTCAGGCCTCTCTCCTTGGCTTGTAGACAGCCATCTTCTCCCTGTGTATGTGTTTCTTTACCTAATTTTCCCTTCATGCTTGTCTGTCTCCAAATTTCTCCTTTGTAAAAGGATACTAGTCATATCGGATTAGAAATCCACCCCACTCCATTATGATCTTATCTTAATTAATTACATCTAAAAGAATCCTATTTCTGAATAAAGTCACATTCTGAGGTACCAGGGGTTAGGGCTTTAAAATATGGGTTTTGGGAGCCACAACTCAACCTATAATGGTAATCACTATATACACACATTGAAGGGATAAATAGATGAAGATTTTTTTTAAAAAAATGATCTTTATAACTCTTTGCCTAGTATCTTTTACCGCATATTCTCCCTCATAACTGAAATTTCCAAAGAACTGAAGTATGCCTCTTCAGGAGTCAAAAACAAAACCGAAAACATTTATGAGAGAAGCCTGCCCAGCATCTAGGGTTATTTGTCTCTAAAGGCTTAACCATTATGTTTACCACCCTCTGCATCTCTGTGCCCAGTGTTTAGTTGCTATCTCTTCCTCCATATTTAATTGTTGTTAACTTACTGAGTCTGAACTAAGGATGAAGACTTTTGAATTCATTTACTAAGACTTTGGGAAAGTTTACTGTGACGTTTATTAACTATGGGCAGGTAATTTATCTTCTGGAATCTCAGGTTTTACATCTATAACAATGTAAAGACAGTAATATTTACATCATAGGATTTCTGTGAAGGTTTAAAAAAAAGATAGCAAATCTACCATGTCTAGCACAGAGGCAGGCACATGATGGATGCCAGAATGTTGGCTATTAATATTAACAACTAACATTTATTGAGTACTTATTATGTGCTAGGAACTACTCTAAGTGCTTAATAAATATTAGCTGATTTAATCTTTACAACTAGCATAATGATGTTGGCACCGTTATTTCTCCTAAATCTAAAAATTTATCTGAGGCACAGAAAATTTGAGGAATCAACCCAGTGACACACAAATAGTAAGCGACACAGCCAGGATTTGAACTCATACGGTCTTTCTCTAAAGAAGAAAAAAAAACCCTAAGCTTATTAAAAATAATATTTTCTAAAACCCAGAAATAACCAACAAAAACCTAAAGAACTCCTGAAACAGCCGCGGAAACCTTGGGAGATGAAACACTTTTAGAATGCCAAGGTTTTGGCCTCAGAGTAACTTTTTGTTTTCATCCAAGTAGAGTTTTATGCTTTTGAAGTTAGAAATAACCTGCTCTCTGACCTCAAGGAACATGGACTTTTACTCTCTGTCTATTAAAACTTTAAATCCAGGTCCCACCTTCCAGGTAACTGCAGAAAGAGAGAAGAGAGAACAAATGGAGAGTCATTAACTTAAAATCACAGGAATTAACCATCTGAGAAAGGTCTCGCTGCGGCAGAGCTAGCCTCAGGCAAAACTTTGAGAAGGTGATACCTACTGGTGGGTCCTGAAGGTCAGGGTTGTGAGGTTCCTTCCTACAGCTCCTGAGCATAGCCCAGAGCCTGGTTGCACTTGGTGAATGTTTGTTGAGCTGATTTAAGCTGAAGTTTGTCTCTGTGACCTCCAGGCAGTCCTCTCTGTGCTGACATTTCTCATCTTCACCAAATTAACCTGGACGCAATTTTTCCTTGTGATATGGGTTTAAATCCTTGTTATTGGATAAAGCTTATCACCTCCTAAGAAGTATGAACATCTTCACAAGGAAATCAGTGATTCTCAACATCAGACAGTTTTGTCCCTAGGGCACATTTGGCAGTATCTGAAGACACTTTTAGCTTTCACTACTGGCTATAGTGGCGTGGTCTATTTAGGGGATACAGGATAGGGGTACTGCTTAGCATCCTACAATACACAGGACAACTTCTCCCAGCTCCCCCCCAAGTAAAGTGAGAGTTAAATGTCAAAGAGTAGGACTGATATTTTGAGGATAAGTGACTTTTGAAAACAGCATCATAATAAATAGTTTCTTCTTTTGTTAGACCAGACTCCAGACAAGAGAAAGAATATGAGGTCCTCTACGACCCATTAATTTGATCCATGTGTCAATTGCGATTGAACTGAAAAACTGACAAATCCTAGTGTGGTTGTAACAGAAAAGGAGACAGTAGTAAGAATAGTTAAGAATTTATGCTTTTTAGGCAACATGATGTGTGTTCAAATCCCTGCTCGACTTATCCTAAGTTGTATAATTTTGATTAATGTATTCAGCTTTTCTGGGCTTCAGTCATTTCATTAATAAAATGCAGATAAGTTTACCTCATCTGATAGTAGCAAGAATTAAATGTACTAACATGTATGGAAGGTTTAGCTCTCTGCTAGACACATTTTAGTACTAAAAGAATATTAACTGTATTAGTAATAATAATAGTAATAATTGCTAGTATTAACAACATGGTGTATCAGAACACAAAACGCACAATTAGAAAATTTCAGTTTTCTTATCTGTTATGCTGGGATAATAATCTCGTATGGGAGTATAAAAACAGCTAATAATAATGGCAGCAATAATATTATCATTCGTAATACTTACATAATAATACTGGATGTACTAAGCAGTGTTCCAGGTTTTTTACACGTTTTAACTGATTTAACTTAACTGTAACTCTATTGTGTAGGTAACATTATTATCACTGTTTTGCAGAAGAGGAAGGGTAAATGCATTCTAATCTATAAAAAATCTCACAGAAATGTTGATTGCTATTACTATTCATGCATTTCAAAGTTTTTTCCCAACATTATGTCATTAGTTCTATGTGATATCTCATGATACTATTAGGGGCTATTTGATGTCCCTGCTTCAAAGGTATTTACATCATTCCTGCAATATCTTTGTTCACTGAAAAATACACATAGCCTACTGCCAAATATTTCTCACCATCAACTTTCTTCCTAACGTCAGAACCAGAGCCAGCTCCTTGCTGTGTTTCCCCATGCCCAGGTCCTGGCTCACCCTGAGACTTCAGACCCAAAGGGGTCTTCCTGAGAGAAAGCACATAGAGGCCTCAACTGATCATTGCCAAATCAGGGATTGTGAGGAAAGGAGTGTGGATAACCTGGATTTTGTGATGCTTTTGTTATTGCAGTCAGAAGGATCAGTACCCACCAGAGCCCCACTTCCGACTTGATTTCAGTTCTAAGATTTTTGGAGGAGGACGGGAAAATAAATCTATCCCATTCTACTCAGATGATGTCTTCCAAGGTGGCTCTCTTATGTTGTGGGTGGCTACCTGACAGAGATAGTTAATGACCAAAACCCAGGTTCCTTGGTTTCCATGCTGGTGACATATTACGCACCTGCCAGACCACAACTTTTAATTTTTTAAAATTTTATTTTAGAAATGGGGTCTTGCTGTTGCCCAGGCTGGAGTGCAGTGACACCATGATAGCTCACGGTAGCCTTGAACTATGAAACTCAAGTGATTTTCCTGCCTCAGCCTCCTGAGTAGCTGTGACTACAGACATGAGCCTTGGAGCCTGGCCCGTAACTTCTGATTTGACACACTGATGCACTGATTTTCTGGAAGTTGTTTTGTGGGTGAATTCTGTGACTTGGCAAGAAATTATCTGCCAGATCTGAGCAAATGTGGCTTAGATCTTGGTGGAAGTGGAAATAGAATTTTTTTTTTCACTCTGTAGGTCCAGGAGAAAGTGTTGTTTATACTTCCTTTGAAAGCTGAGAGGAAAGTTGTACTGATGTTATTTAAAAAGTATTGTGAATAAAGTGAGTGATGGTTGACTCAAGACAGAGAAAAAATTTTACTATGCCAACTTTTAACATTCTTTGGACACTCTAATTTGATATTCCCTTAATTGCTTAATGTGGCAATAATGCATCTTCCTCTCTCATTTTCTTATTCAAGAAGCAGCCATAGATTAGAAGACACTTCTGGGAATCTACCTTCATTATCATATATTGTCCTTGATTGTAGTTTTTTTTTAGCAGGATTTCTATTAGGAAAGAAAATATATTGAGATGAAAAGAAAATATAAAGCCATATAATTCTAAATCTAGAAAGGTATATATGTTTTATTCTTCTAGTAATGTCTATGTTTTTGCTCTTCCTCTGACATAGATTATTACATATTTTTCTGATGTATATTCTAATGCTGAATCTCTTCTTTTGTTTTAATCTGGAATGATGCTGTCTTCACAAGCAAGGTCAAATGTCGTTAAAGGGGCATACCTAGTTTTAAATAAGTATATTTTAAAGACTTTGTGAAGATTTTCCTTGTTATTGGCTTTCCTTCAATTTCAGAAAACATATTGATTTTCCAAATATAACTTAGAATTTTGTGTCAATGTTTAATAAGACAGTTGATTATTTTTTTCTTCTGAATTAATAGTGTCTAATGTCAGTTTAGGGTTTGTTGGTCTAATGGTAATTTTTAAATTCTACTTTTGGTGTATGGCTATTGTACAAAAAATTGTTTTGCCTGTAATTTGTTCCAGATAATAATCCCTGATATCACACCAGGAAACTTATGTGTAATGTAAATTTCAATGTTAAATTATTTATTGCATATAAATTTTCTATCTGAAGGGGATCAACACACTGAATCCACTAATGCTAGTCTAATAGAAAGTTAATGGCTTATTCCGACTGATTTTGCAAGAACAAAGGGACATGCTAATCTTGATGACCGTGTTCAATTAGCCAAATGCCTAGGGAATAGATTTTCTATAGTCCACATTAAGTCTGCAGAACTACAAAGGTGGCAACTTCTTTCTAAACTATATTTCTTATTGGATTTTTCACCATTGAACCTGCAGAGATATGGAGCTGAAAATAAGTAACACACTTGAGTGAATAGTGGTCTTCTGAGACAGGTTGTCTATTCAGAAGTGAATGCCTAATACTAACGTGTTGTTCAGGCTCAGGAAGTGTACACAGTACAATGCCTTAGAGAGATCATTGCTCTACTTTTCTAGTTTGAAAAGTAACTCTGAGAGGGAAGTGTGATGCCTAGTGATGCAGATTCAAGTTTCGGCAGTGACTCCACTACCTTTTGGTAAATCAAAAAGCAAACAACTCCCCAGCCAGGCAAAATTCTCCACAGCTTCTTCAGTGTTTAAGCCATGACTCTGGTTTCATAAAAATTAAAAACTCCTGCTCATCAAAAGACGCTGTTAAGAGAATGAAAAGCAAATAAGACTAATTGTACATTTTGTAAATCATTTGTCTAATAAAAGACTTGTTTCCCAAATATATAAAGAACTCTCAAAGCTCAATAAGAAATAAAAATAATGAAAAAGGGAGAAAAATATGTGAAGAAATTCTTCACCAAAAATGTATGGATAGAAATATGCACATGACAAGACACCCAACATCATTAGTTAGTAGGAAAATGCAAATTAAAGCCATGAGATACCACTGTATACCTATCATGTGTACAATTCAAGAAACTGATCACACGAAGTTTTGTGAGGATGTGGAGCAACTGGAACTGTCACAAATTGTGATTGGAAATGTAAAATGAGAAGACTTTTAATAAACTTTCTTAAATATTTAATTATACAAATATATAATACAAATTTATATATACACACATATGCCTGTACATATGCACGTATGTTTATGTGTACATACTTATGTATGTATATACATATATGTATATACTAACATTCAGCCATTCTATTTTTGAGTCTTTTTATGCAAAAGAAATGAAAGCATATATCCACACATGACTTACATACAGTTGTTCATAGCAACTTGATTGGTAATAGCTAAAAATTGGAAACAGCCTAAATATTCATCAACAGGTAAATGTAAGTCAATTGTGATGTAGCCATATAATGTAATACCACTCAGTAATAAAAAGGAATACATTATTAATATAGGCAACAACAGCAGTAATTTTTTAAATAATTATGCTGCGTGAGAAAAGCCAGACAAAAAAGTACATGCTGTATGATTCCATTCATATAACATTTTAGAAAATGCAAACTAATCCAGAGTTACGGAAAAGACATCAGTGATTGTCTGGAGACTAGAACCCAGGGAAAGACAGGAGAAAGAAATTACAAAGGGGCACAAGGACAATTATTTGAGATAATGAATATCTTGATTATAGCTGTGGCTTCATTGGTATACACAGATTTCAAAACTATTAAGTTGTACACATTAAACATATGCAGTTTATTATATGTCTATTATACCTCAATAAGAATATTATAAACAACAAAGAAAGATCTTTAAGAAATCCCCATCCAGGAGCTGAGGGGAGGGGATATTGGGAAGTTTGTTGCTCAGTGGGTGTCAAGTTTCAATTATGCAAACAAAATAAAATCTAAAGATCTGCCAATCAACACAGTACTTATCAATAATACTATATTGTTGGTATTATAGTAATAGGGATTATACACTTAAAATTTTGAGGGAATATCTTGATATTAACTGTTCTTATCACACACACACACACACACACACACATACACACACACACACATGAACACAGGGAACTTGGAGGTGATGGATATATTTATTACCTTGACTGAGGTGATGGTATCATGGGTGCATGCATAAGTTCAAAGCTCATCAAATGGTATATATTAAACATATATATTTTAAATCAGTTATACATCAATCAAGCTGTTTAAAAATAACTCATTACCCTTTTTAAAGACACAATTTATCAATATGTGATTCTGAAAAAAAGAAATCTTTCCACTCCACGAATATTTCCCTTACCAATTAGACATATAGCCATCTTTCTGGTTTCTTACTTTATCTCTCTTGCATGCCTCCTTATTATTTTCTTTGTTTCTTACTTTTTTTCTTTTTTTCAAGACAGAGTCTTACTCTGTCACCCAGGGTGGAGTGCAATGGCACAATCGTAGCTCACTGCAGCCTTGACCTCCGAAGCTCAAGTGATTCTCCCACCCTAGCCTCCCAAGTATCTGGGACTACGTGCGTGTCACCATACCCATTTTTTTTTTCTTTTTTACTTTTAGTAAAGATGAGGTCTCACTACACTGCCCAGTCTGGTCTTGAACTCGTGACCTCAAGTGATAGTCATGCCTCAGCCTCTCAAAGTGCTGGACTACAGGTATAAGCCACCGTCTACTCTCTTTTATTGATATTCATTTGTTTAGTCATTCTGTACATAATTATTGGGCATGTTCTCTGTGCCGGGCACCGCTGGAACTTCTGAGGATTCATTAGTGAACAAAATACAGTGACCTCCCTGATGAAGCTAATGTTCTTGAAGAAGATAGGTATTGATTCATTATACAACAAATTACTTGGAGGCATCTTTACCAAGTTATGTAAAAGAGAAGAACAGGGTGCTGTAAGGGAGAGTTAGAAGAACCTAATCTGGTCTGCAGGGTATTAAAGTCTTGCTTGAGGAAATGACACTTGATATAAACTTCTTGAGAGAACACATGAGTTCCATTACTGAGTCAAAGCCCATCCCCAGGTAGTTGCCTGATATATGTGCTTTTGGTTTGTTTATTTTTTTGTTTGTTATCAAGTGTTTTCTTTTTTAGTTGACACATAAAACATGTATATATTTATGGGATACAGAGTGATATCTTGACACATGCATACAATGTGTAAATGATCAAATCAGATAATTAGAATATCCATCACTTTGAAGACAGAGTGAATTTTGAATGCTCATATATATTTTTTGAGTTAAACAGACCATTTCCTTGTACTAAATGAGTTAAATATTTTGTTAATAGTTTGTTTCCCACTTTTCAAGTTAATCTTTCAATTCTTAAAGCACTATTTAACAACAACAGCAAAACCAGTCTAATAAGATTAAAGTCGCATTTTTTAACATTTTATCCTGCCTTTAAAAAGAAAATCTACCATAAACCCATAACAAAAGGTACTAATTGAAGAAAGATAATTGTAGAAGAAATGTTCACCGTATTTTAAAAGAAGAGTGCTTAAATTGCTTGTTCACTTCTGATGGTTGCATTAATTGGTTTTTATTTTTCTTTGTGGATTGATATTTTCATTTAACATAAAATATTTCCCGCTAGACCTCCAGAAAGGTGGTACTTGAAAATCAAAGTGATCATAGTAGCTTAGACTCTGAATACAGTGAGTTTTCTCAAACTCAAGCTTTTTTGACCAGCTGGCCATCTTCCTTGAGCCAATGCTCCTGCATTTGGAGGCTTGACGAAGCAGTTTCTGGATATATTTTTTCCTCATTTAATCTGCTTGGATCCATGTCAGATGTTTTTCAAATAAATTTCAATTAATATTTACTTGAGATCAATGCTTTAGTCACAAAAGTAAGTTGTTTCTTGCCTAACACTGACAAGTAAATAAATTTAAGAGGCTATATTTGAAATACCTGTTTAAAAATCAGAGCTAAAGCTATTTTAGATATGACAATATAATACATGTAATAATGTATTTTTAGAATTGCCTCTAAAATATTATTTTTCTTTTTTTAGCATTCTTAGGTACACACTCTTAAGCTGTAATTCATCAGAAAGATAAGGTTAGAGAACACTTTTACTGTGTAAGTTCTGCAACAGATTTTGGCCAAAAACAATAAAACCAGACTTGATCTGAAGATGGGCATCAAGGAAAGCAAGGACCCTTATTTAATACGGAATGATGTGATGTGGAATTAGACGTTACTTCTGTATTACCAAGGAGAAAGGAAAAATCTTGATAAAAGTCTCTGACCATCAAGGGGGTTGGAGATGAGAAATAGCTGCAGGGATTTTTCAACCCACACAAGTTTTCTTAGCTTTTCCCTCCCAGTGAGATTCTGACAAGCTTTCCTAGAAGATATCTACTTCATTGCTCTCATGAAGTACTCCCTTGCCCCCTTAAATGCTTTAATGAGCCTCTGTTACTAAAAGAGGTAACTTTCCTAGTACCCAGGCATGTTGGATGGTGAAAAAAAAAGTATGTGAACAGCTGAACTAGGGCATGAACATAGAGGGATGACCAAGGCGCAATTTAGCAATCTCAGCTCTGGCAGCATAGTTCTTCACTTGGGGAGCTTTGAAATGTTGTAATGCCTGTTCCAAGCCCCCTGAAATTCTGATTTAAATGGTCTGGAGTGGGCCCAGGTATTGGTAATTTTAGAAGTTCCCTTTTGATTTCCACTCTGCGGTCAGGGTTGACAATCAATGTTATAAATTAATCATTATCCTGTAGTTCAGATTTTAAACGGAGGTTTTCCTAGTTTTTGTGTTCAACTGTGTTCCAAACAAGACATTCTTCTAAGCATCCTCCCCTTTCAGTTCTCCTCAAGTATAAAATCCTTCCTAGACCAAAGGAAAGAACTTAGCAAACCTCTTGCCACCACTATGGACACTGGCACAAGTACCCTGTTGGTAATTGCTGTGAGGCTGAACAAGCGCTAAGTCCACACACCACTGAAGGGCTGCAGCTTGAATAATGCCAAGCAGAGTGGCCCAGCCAGAGACGTTTTTCTGAGTGGCTAGTCTTTATCAAAGACCTTTGTTTATTGAAGACAGATGCCATTTCCTTTGTCACAGCCTTAAGATGCTTGGAAATTTGGGGGTGAAGATGTCTATGATTTTACCTTATAAAGCATGCTGATGGGACATTAGTGGGAAAGAAATATCACCAATTTTATGCACATTTATAAGTTAGGAGTCCAAGAAACCGAGCTAAGTGCAGCATGAGGGAGAGAGTTATGGCAACCAGCTCAGAAGGATCACAGCACAGTGAGTGTGCAGGGCATGGCTGGGAAAGATGAGACAGGGGTTTCATTATGGCTGTGCCATAAAAAAACCCATTACCTTGAAAAGTTCCTTCGGCTTTTGGTACTTTCTTTTCCTTCACCAAAAGGGTCCTGGGATAGGATTAGGTGATACCTAAGGCTTTTATAACTCTAATATTATATAACCCTTCAAAAGCTACTGGTGGATATTTATTGTAAGTATATGAAAGACATTGGAAGAAACAGGAATTTTTTTATTAGTTTAAAATGGTCATAAAATGTTAGAGCTATAATTTAGTCAGTCACACATTTAGTGACTGTAAACAAAGGGCTATATGAAGGTTGGAGGTTGAGCATCAAAATAAATCAGTTATGGTCTTTGCGTTTCCCAGGCTGACACATCATGAAAGGACAAAGAAAATCACACTAATGACAGATAAAATAATTCCAAAGAATAATTTAATAGAGGTGTGAAGCTCAACAGGAAAATCAGAGGGAGAGGTAAAGGTCATTTGGATCATTTTAACATCATTGCTAAGAATGGCTTTACAAAATCTGGTTTTCTTCTTTGGACTTGTTGAGAAGACATTTTGGTTGTGGTGGTATACTTTTTTGTCTTCTTTGGTTGTAAGCCCTGTGGTGTTAGCTGGGCACCTGTACTGGCTGGTTGCACAGTACCTGCTGTATTTGACAAATTGTAGAATAGAAGTTATTGTCGGTATTGTTTTCAAATGCACTCCATCGAAGAGCAGCATTAGCAGTGGCCTGATGCCCGCTATATAGATTTGTCATCTTATTATGAGGAGCAAAGCCATTTGGCTGTGCTTCACTCTAGGGCTTTTTGCTGCTCTGCAGTGGATTCTCAAATTAGGAGTGCATAATCCTGCCAACGTGTTCAGATGGCACTTTCATAAGTTGCTCGGGCTGTAATCAGGATGTGGTGATAATCAGACTGGAGTCTGGATGGACATCCTGCTGCACCTCATACAGCTCCTCTCTCATGGTGACAGCCACGGAACACTGGGGCAATGAGCTCCATCACTGGGGCATGATGACAGTGCCAGGAAGGATAACAAACAGACTATACCCACAGAACCTGGTGGTGCTTGTGAGTGCCAAGGGGAACAGATTGTACTACAGAGGGTGTTTAGGAAGGCCATTAGGGCAACTTAAGTTATCAGAAGACCATGACAGGAGACTTGTGATGCACAACAGTGATAGGCTTAGGTAGTGAAAAGACAAAGAAATGAAGTTGGCCACAAAGTCAAGATGAAGATAGCAAATGACATATTCTGTATTTGAACTATGTGTCAATGTTAAGAACTTACAGAAATGATACACATTGCTAAAAAACCACTCTGAGGCAAGAAGGAATATAATATCTGTATAGGAAGTCCCTTCCCCTGGCAGGGCTATTCAGGGTTATTCCAGCTAATGGGGATACCTAGGTGTGGCATGAAGGAGCAAACATTGCACACAGGGAAGTGGTTATAACACAGGTTTGTGGTAAATAAGAAGCTGTCAAAGGCCTTATCCAGAGCTTGTGGTTGTAGCCAGCTGAGACCCAATGTATGCTCACTTCTCAGCTGATGCCTGAGGCTCAGCCATGAGAGCAGAATGTCCATACACTTGTATGGTATTCGCTCCAAAAGGGTGGATCTGAATCTTGTTGAGATTATAAGCCAGAAGATGCAAATGAATTCTGAAGGAATCAGAATTAGTACTCCTACTTCATAAGGCTTTAGTTCATCTCTTAGCTCTGGATCTGAGAAACCCTCTGTGTGCATCAGAGTGAACTCTGAGCAGATGGCTTCACAGCGAAGATACTGATCCAGGTAACTGCATGAGTATTTTTATTAAGAGATGACAGAATTTACCATGATGCAACTTTAAAATTAAGGAGTCATAGAATGTTAGAGCTGGAGGTTAATCAGACACACATTCAGCGAACAGTTATTGTGAGTAAAGGGCTGTGTGAAGGGTGGGGGTTGAACATAAAAATTACCCAAATATGGTCCCTGCCTCTTGATGATGGAAAAACTGACTGGAAACCAAGTTTTTTTCAGGGGAGTCTGTGAACATGACCATCAGATGACCACTAATTGGGCACTGGAGTTTCAGAAGTCATAGACATTCACTATATTATACCTGAAGTTTATATTGAATGCAGTCATTTTATTTTATTATTTTATTTTTTGAGACAGAGTCTCACTCTGTCACCCAGGCTGGAGTACAATGGTGCGATCTCGGCTCACTGCAAACTCCACCTCCCAAGTTCAAGTGATTCTCCTGCCTCAGCCTCTTGAGTAGCTGAGATTATAGATGCACGCCACCATGCCTGATTAATTTTTGTATTTTTAGTAGAGATGGGGTTTCACTATGTTGGCCAGGCTAGTCTCGAACTCCTGACATCAAGTGATCCACCTGCCTGAACCTCCCAAAGTATTGGGATTAGAGGCGTGAGCCACCAAACCCGGCCTCAATGCAGTCATTTTAAATGGAATTATTTTGTTTGTGATTGGTTAAGCTTAGATATCCCTCACTGAGTCACCATCCGGATGACGCAAAACAAAATGAAGCTGTATTAGGTGATATACTATATTTTTCAGTGTAAGGACCACCCTAGCTTGTCTATATCTGAGGCTTATTTCCTCACTTGTTAGGAACCCTTTTTGAACAGATTACTCTTCATGTTAGTTAGAGCCTTGCTGTTAAAAGTATCATCCCTGGACAAGCAACATTGGTATCACTAGAGATCTGGTAAGAAAGGTGGACCCTTTTGTCTCAACACAGACCCACTGACTCACAATTTGCATTTTAACAAGATTCCCTAATGATTTCTTTGCCCATGAAAGTCTCAGAAGCTCTCCCTTAGAGTCCTCCCTAACTCTAGATTTGTAGTTCCAGATACCAACTTTATACATCTGGATAAATCATAGGCACCTCAAACTTATCCCAGTGGAAATGGAATTTATAATTGTTCACCTAAATGGCTTTTTCTCTCTATGTATATTTTTCTCAGACCATTCTCCAAAAACAATCTTCCTATATTTTGAACTCAGTTGATGGCATCACTCCTCTACCTAATCCTAAGCTCCAAACACCAGGGTCATTCAACTCTGTCCTTTCTTTGCACCTTCCACATCCAGCAAATCCAATGGGATTGAGTCTGTCTCAGAAATACCTCTCTAGCATGCCTGGAACTCCATTCCCACCTTATTCTTTTGGTTCAGCAACAGTCTTGTTTTTCAATGTTTCCACTATTCTCTCCCTCCACTTTCAACCCACTTAATATCTCTTTGAAAAATATTTTCATTTGTTCCAACTGTGAGTAATTAGCCAAAACTTCTACAGATGTTTTGTGAAAGCAGTAGTCAGTATGTGTTTTTTTCTCGCAAGACCTATCTTTATACACTTTCCACCACCCCAACTCCCTTCCACATATACACACACCTTTTCATCTGTTTAAGATTCAAGTTAGAGTAGAAAAGCAATTTCCAAGTCAATTACACTGGAAATTGCAAATTTGTCTCTTTTGCTCTAAAATAATCAGAATATTTCAATCATGGTTGTACCATCATATTAATAGAAATGTTTGGTTTACCTCTGAACGTAGAAGTTTTAATAAAACAGAATGATATTTTCTGACCAAAAGAAAACCCCAAATATTAACTTTTCTGTGTCCTCGTTTTGAAAGAGAGGTTATTGAAAAATCACCTGGGCTTAATAACGTTTTAAAAATGCAGTTATTCATTTAATAAATTTTAATATGTGAATGATGAGCTATTACTAAGGGCAATACATTTAGAATTTTTTTCTGAAGAAGTTGTGTAATGTGTTACATGTATGTCCTTGATTTTAATTTTAATGTGATTTTTCAAATTCTTATAAGGCAAAAACAACAATATAGTGCTCACTGGGATATCTTGAGGGAGTTCTTACATAAATTATGCTACCTTTCTAGCTGTGATTTACCTACAGTTTTCAGCTGAACCTCCTTTTTGTATGAAACGTACTGGAGGAATTATGTTTATTGCATTACAGGTTTCAGAGGAGAAAAAAGCAGAAATGGTTTTCTTTGCTTGGCATGTCAAGGATTTTATCCTCTCCCTCTGACCTTTTCACCTTCTTTGTATAAGTCATGTCTATAATTCTTACCTGTAATGACAACATTGGTTTATTTTCTTTGCTATATGATATCTGATTTTAAATGGTTCTTTTCTTGCTCAAGTTTGGTGCGTATTTATTTATTTAATGAAAAACTGCACCCTTTATTGTGGCATTCACATATTAATGTTTAATGCAGTGAACATGAAAAATATATCAAAGGTATTACTTGCGATAAAACCTGAATCAGAGCCTGATCTGCTCAATATGGACACTAATGACTCCACGGTGGTTTTGTGAGGCCAGAGTGCTTGCTCCACAAGATTTTTAGCCTCAAGCTGAAAACCTTGGCCAAATGAGTTCAGCACATCCCTCAGGATTTATTATATTAGGCTGGCTGACAACGAGTAAGGGACAGATTTGTTCAGACCAAAAAGGGCACACTGTTCCAATGCAGTTAAAAGTAGCTAAACACTCCCTACTTCAAATCTCTATTTCCACTTGGCAGGGCTTTTTCTGCTTTAAAACTAAGTGAAATTCCAATTTCCGTCATAGGTTTATCATTTTCTAACTGAGAAAATACTTTTGTGTTCTTTCCCTATAATAATACCTTTTATTTGTATAGCAATTTGCCATCTGCACAGTTTTCACTTCCGTTATTCCGTTTAACCTTCATAATAACCCTGGTAGTTATTGTCTTATTGTTCTCATTTTTATAGATAATGGAGTTGAGGCTCTGAGAGCATAAGTGATTGTCCAAGGTCACACAGGTGGTACTTAAAGTCAGAACTCAAACCCAGGTTTTTTGACTCCCAAGTATAGCTAAGACTCTTGACTATAGACCATTTTACAATAGTGTGGGATGTCTTAACCATACAAATTGTAAAAG